>NC_000003.12:81222121-81525151 GCF_000001405.40 Homo sapiens | reverse complement strand
ATTCAAAAATATTGAAATAATATCAAGCATCTTCTCTGACCAAAATGGAATAAAACCATAAATTAATAACAAGAAGAATTTTAGAAACTATACAAACACATTCAAATAGAACAATATATTCCTGAATGGCCGTATACCAATGACCATACCAATCCAAGGCTAGGTCAAGAACGAAATTAAGAATCCCTATCAAAATACCAATGATATTTGTCAAATAAATGGAAAAACAATCCTAAAATTTACTTGAAATCATAAAAGACCCAGAATAGCAAAAGACATGTTGCACAAAAAGAACAAAACTGGAACAATCACATTACCTGACTTCAAATTATACTACAGAGCTATAGTGACCAAAACAGCATGGTAATGCCATAAAAACAGACACAAATACCAGTAGAACAGAATATAAAACCAGAAATCAATCCATGTATCTACAGTGAACTCATTTTCAACAAAGGTGCCAAGAACATACAATGGGGAAAGGACAGTTTCTTCAATAGACGGTGCTGGGAAAACTGGATATCCTTATGTGGAAAAATGAAGCTAGATCCCTATCTCTCATTATATACAAAAAACAAATCAAAGTGGATTAAAGACTGAAATCTTAGACATAGTTTATGCCTAAACTAAGCATAGGCAATCAAAGCAAAAATGTACAAATGAGATGAGAGCAAGTTAAAAAGCTTCTGCACAACAAAGGAAACAGGGAAGAGACAATCCACATTATGGGAAAAATATTTGCAAACTGTCCATCTGGCAAAGGATTAATAACTAGAATACATAAGGAGCTCAAACAATAGGAAAAAATTTAATAATCTTATTTAAAAATGGGCAGAAGATCTGAATATACATCTCAAGAAGACATACAAATGACAAACAGGTGTATGGAAAGGTGCTCAGCATCACTGATTGTAAAAGAAATGCAAATCAAACCTACAATGAGAAATCTCACCCCAGTTAAAATAACTTTTTTCCAAAAGACAGGCAGTAACGATCCTGGTGAGGATGTGGAGCAAGTAGAACCCTCATACACTGTTGGTGGGGTTGTCAATCAGTACAGCCAGTATGGAGAACAGTATGGAGATTACTCAGAAAAGCTAAAAATATAACTACCATATGATCCAGCAATCCCACTGCTAGGTATACACCCAAAAGTAAAGAAATCAGTATATGGAGCAGATATTTGCGCTCCTCTTTTATTGTAGCACTGTTCACTATAGCCAAGATTTGGAATCAGCCTAAGTGTCCATCAGTACACGAATGAACAAAGAAAATATAGTACATATACACAACGGAATACTATTCAGCCATAAAAGGAATGAGATCTTGTTATTTGCAACAATATGGATGGAACTGGAGGTCATTATGTTCAGTGAAATAAGCCAGGAATAGAAAAACTAACTTTGCATGTTTTCACTCATTTATGGAAGCTAAAAATTAAAACAGTTGATCTCATGGAGATAAGAGAGTAGAAGGATGGTTACCAGAGGCTGGAGAAGGGTAGTGGGGTAGTGAGAGGGAAATGGAATGCTTAATGGCTACAAAAGCATAGTTTGATAGAATGAATAAGACCTAATATTTGATAGCACAACAGGGTGACTGCAGTCAACAGTAATTTATTCTACATTTTAAAATAACTAAAAGTGTAATAGGAATGTTTGTAACACAAAAAAAGGATAAATGCTTGAGATGATGGATACTCTATTTACCCTGATGTGATTATTACATATTGTATCCTGTATCAAAATATCTCAGGTACCCCATAAACATATATACCTACTATATACCCATAACAATTTTAAATTTAAATTAAAAAATCATTTTATCATTGTCAACAAATGGAAATGTATAGAATTTTCCATGATGATATTTAGGAGAAAAATCCTGGGTCAAGCTATAAGGATCTATCTAAAATATATTAATATATTAACTTTAACAAATATTGAATATTATGAAAGCATACATAATAATATATGTATTATATATATTATATAGCATAGTGTATTACTGTGACCCCCATAAGTCAGCAAGACCCCCAAATGTTAGTTTATATATACTGACACAGAATTACACTGTATATGAAAGCCTGGTTCGGTTTTGAAAATCTTGACACAAATTGGGTCTTCTGAAATTTAGTTATCTGCTTAAATGTCTATAGGTAATTTTTACATGAAAATTTTCTATTTTAATAAATAAATACTCAATGTTTTTACATTAGTCACCTCTTCTGGAAGCTATACTAGTTATAAGTTGCAATGATACAGACATTGGAAAACTGAGTCGTCTCTTTATAGAAATTATAGTTGAATCCTCAGTCATCTAATTGGTCTCCAAGAGAACCATGAAGAAATATTGTTGACCTATTTCCCACATTTTGCCTGTTACAGATTTGTGCCCACTTGGACTTTAATTATTCTTACCACCCATCTCTTCCATGTCTTTCTGTTAACAAGTAGTAAATTCACATACATTATTGCTTTTTCTGAGAATATTTGCATTTTAATAATTCTCTTTGAATACTCACAAAGTATTGAAGATGTAATGGTCTAAATAGGTAATGGGAGAATTGTATCATGTTTTTTACTTTATATATTTTAAATTTGGGGGGGGCAGGAAGGGAGCAGGAGAGCATTTCCAACATAATTTACAACGCACCTTCTAATTAAGTATATTTTAATAACACCAGCCATAACTCTGAGACTGAAATCACAACATCTTCCTTTTGTGAGGTACTCTGCTCCACCCTCCCAGTTCAGTGCAGAAGTCCCATCTAGAAATTTCTTACAAATAATCACCTGTTATTCGAATACTTTGCAGTGCTAAGAATATCACTGTTTCACAAGATAAACAGTATTGTTTTTTAATAAATAAAAATGTTATCTTAAAATCAACGCATTAGTTCTGTACTCTGAGGCTAACACCTGTTCTATGTGCCAGCTATTCAAATCAGAAAGGCATTTAACATGCTTCTTAGATTACCACCTCTCCCTGCTTTTTCCTCTTCCAGACCAGATATGGCTAGTTTCTTAAATCGATTCTCATGATACTTTCCAGACCTCTTACCATTGCATCTCCCTTATTAAAATGCACCCAGCATTGTTCACATTCCTCCTACACTAACAGCAGAGTATTCTAGATACGGTCTGGCAAGTATGACATACAGAGCCCCATTACCTTCCTTTATTTTGATGCTGCTCTCTTATTCATGGAGTTAAAGTTGCATTAGCTTTCCTGGCAGCCATCACATTTTCCTTTCACATTGTATTTCCATCCAAACAAAAATCTTGGGTTTTTCTTTTGTATCCTAGTATTGTGTCATATCTTCCTTTTTCTTTATTTATTCAGTTAATAATTTCAACCTAAAATCCCAAATTTAACATTAAACTTGGAAAAGTACAATATTAACTTTGACCCTCTAACCTATTAGAAAAGATAAAAGAATATTACAGGACAATTCTCTGTTATTAATCTGTTAGGATTGTAGCATCTCCCATAACCAGCAAATGGATCTCTTCTTTTAACTTTTTGTTGTTCCAAGCTTAGCTTTAAGAGTCCTTTTTCTTCTCCCTTGCATTTTTTGTCTCATTTTGGCCTTTTATCTTTCTGACTTTATTCTTGTACTTTTAACCTACAGTGTAGTTCAATATTATAGAATGAATTCAGATATACAAAATATTAAAAATTAGGATTTCAATGGTATATTTTCTGTCTTTAGCAAAATATTCTATGCCATTGGTATTTCTAACTACTGAGCAAGTGAATTGAATACAGATTTTTACTGTGAAGAGTCTACCATGGCAAGATTGCATGTGTTAATCAAGTAATAAAATTCATCAAATTTTTAATTCCCTGGGAAGCAGGATTTGGTGCCAGAATAAATTTAACTTTTCTAAAGAAGCCACTTAAACTTCCTCTGTCCCTAGGAAATATAACCCTGCTATAGGTAACATGTCTGAATTTTTGAACAGGTTCAATTTTTTTGAACCTGTAGATCTTGTATATCAAATAGCAAGACATCAATTTTCACTCAAACCTGTGGAGAATAGATGGTGACTGCCATCCCAAAAACTGTTGGAAGGGGAGCTGTTTTGGAGGTAATGCCAGGCAAGGTAGAAGAAACACTAAGGATGCTTTTAACTATCTCTTCAAAATAAGAGAATACGTTTGGAAAACTGAGAGGCAAGACTGATTTGTATCAATAAAGCTTTGAATGTGGCCTTCATGGTGACTACCAAAGGACATCTTATAATTGTTTCTGCAGTAGAATCTACAGCCATATTCTAGGAAAAAAATCAAGAAACAAAACGACAACAAAAACCTTTTGCCTGTATACTCTCACATTTGTCTTTTTAGCTGCTAATCTTCAGTGTAATAATCACCAATATTCTTTAATGCAATAGATAGAAATGTGGGTAATGCTGAGACCTACATGTACTTAATAAATAGGCAGGTTTCATATTTCATGCTTAGAAAGATAAAATACATTTTCCTGATGTATTATATTCACTTAAGTTTTCACATTGTTTAGCTGTAAAGAAAGAAACATAATGCCTTTTATATCATCAGAATCATTATTATATTTCTTTAGTGGCATTTCTTCACCTAGAACATTATCAAGTTGGCATTAAATCAGAAAGAATACTCTGTTCCCAAGACCAGAGTGCTCTTTCTAATGCATTTGAACAATACAAATGATTATACCACATTTTAAATGATGTGGGGAGAATGTGAGTATTAGGGCCCCTCTTTTGTGGGCCTTCTATTTGCTAATCATTTTTATAAAGTATTCAGTTTAATATAGTATAGTAATAATGAAAAAGTTTGAAACGTTGCGATAATTACCAAAATGTGATGCGGAGACATGCAGTGAGCATATACTGTTAGAAAAATGGCACCGACAGAGTTGCCCAGCCAGGGTTTCCACAAACTTTCAATTTGAAAAAAACACAGTATCTGCAAAGCACAATAAAGTGAAGTGCACAAAGCAACTTGTGACTGTATTTTGGGCCACACTATAAGGCACGTTGTAGAGACTGAGGCCTTTAATTAACTGAAGCCTTCCCTCCAGCCCATGGCAGGTAAAGGTTAAGCAGTGTTTTCCATAGCCCATATTCTTTCTGTTACACCCTGGTGCCTCTTTCTGTTCCTGGAGTATGTACATGTGGTTGGGGGTGGTAGCAATGGTGGTATTATTGATGATTTATTTCTGTAATGTTCAAAATAATTTTGAAAATACTTCTGGGAATATAAGTAGAATAAGAAAATTACATACAGACTTGTGGCCCAGGCAGGTTTCTTTCTAATCAACTCACTTTTCTCACTGCCCTGCCATAACCTCTGACAAATTCTTCCCCAGAAATTCTTCTTGGTGATCTTGTTTGCCATCTTCCACAAGAAGAAAAATAATTTTAAAGCAAAACTTACATGTGAAGTTCAATTATTGTGATTTTTTTTTCTGTATTCTAGAGTAGAATATGAATGTGTCATGGTTCTATTTTCAGAGTTAAACTGATGTATTACATCAGTTTAAGTTAATACATGATATACAATAGAAATTTTAACCCCCCCCAGCTTATTTATAAAGTGTTTGTGTTGGTATATACAGATAAATATCATTCTGAGACCATAAACAACACAAGAATCAAATGTTTAAATTATTTATCAGCATACTTTTGAGGTGGGAGTGGAAATGATAGTGTAGTAACAGCCCCCTTTCCAAATGGCATTTCAAACTGTTACAATGTTGTGACGTTAAGAGGAGTGTTCATGAGGTATGGCTTGTGAAGAATATGTGAATCTAGGACTAAATCTTTAAACCCAAGAGAGCAGAGGTATAAATAGTTGAATTTGACCTGAGATAGTTGAAATATTTTCATTAAACCACTGCAAGATGCACTTTTTAAAATGTAAATTCATACTCTGACATTTGCAACCTGTACACAGAGTTTCTAATAAGCAAATAAGGTCACTTGGATGATTTACTGCAGTGTGATTGCTGAAGGCAGAGATGTTGCTATGAGTTGCTTGGTTTACAGAAGGCTTTGAAGTGTGGTGATGTAACACTGTGTTTATTAGAATCTATGCTTTTTGCAACAAATAAAAACAAAGGACTTAATTTAGGATTAGCTAACTACCACATTCTATCCAGATTATATATGTAAAGGATAATTTCTGGTCTGACTAAATAGAGCATCTCAACTTTCTAGTTTTCCAGGTTTTAGATACTTTGGTAAAAAAGCAAATTCAGGGTTTTCTCCAGAAGTTCTACACAGTGACTTTCACCAGATACAGGCATGTTTCTTTTTCCTTTATGTTATGCTGCAATTTATTGATGATGAGCTTTATGAGAGCTGAGACAGATGATCCTACTAACAATTTTATATTTAATATAGGTCCTCCTTTTTTAAAATAGCTTTATAATGGATGCATGCTCATTGCTTAGGTTCACTTTCTTTAGTTTTGAAATGACTAATACTTTTAAACATAGAGGTCCTTTTGATCATTTTTTCATTGCTAAACACTGTCTAACAATCCCTATGATTTAATGATAATGACAGACCAGTACCCTCACCTCCCTGGTCATAAAAAGCCTATGATTTAGCTTCATTTCTCTACCCAGGAATTAGGGATGAATCACCAAGTAAGAAAAATATTTTGCATGATTAAAATATTGCAACTGCTATAACACTTTTAGATTGCCTTAATATATATTCATAAGATTATAGGCAGTAATGAATAGTGAGCAAGTCCTTACTGCACACGAATGTATTTAGTTTTGGGGTTTTTTCTTGAAGGGGGACCAGGGGCCTGTTGTTTTGAATAGCCATCACGGTGCTGTCAAATATTTAACAGCAGTTCTGGTTTTTTTGTTTCATAGCTCAGTTGTGCAATGATGGTCTCTTCACTTCAGAAAGTCATCTAACAATAGCCCAGTCAAAATTTCTGTCTTCTATTTCTTGCCCTTCTGGAGGAAAAATATATCAGAAATATTGTCATAACCTTTAAAGAAGACAGTGCATAATCACCTAGTAATAGTATCCTTCATTGGGGTTTGGGGGGGAGGAACATTTGTGCCCAAGGTGATCATTTTCATCAATTTTTAAAAAGGAGATACTATTATGTGTTTGTAAACTTCGAGATGGATGATAAGACAGAGTATTACCTATATATCAACAATGATATGTTTACTTAGAATACACTAGGTACCTGTAAACAGAGAGCTAAATCTCTGATAGGAGTATGGATAGAGGGGTTGATGAACTGATAGACTGACTGACAGATGGAAGGATGGATGGATAAATGGAGTATGTAGCTACCTAGTGGTGAAATAACTCCTGAAGGTTTAAAATTATGTAATTAAAAGACAAATAGTACTAAAATGATTTGCTTCTCCCTTAAAACAGTAATTTAATTAAATGGTATAAAAATTGATAAGCTATTATCAATAAAATACATCATAATTTTGTAGAATTCACAATTAATATATTATTATACTATGATGTGCTTGCTGAGCAGATCTTCATAATAAGATCTACTGTCTCTTATAAACTTAATATATGTCCTGCACTCTGAAAGTATTTTATACTCATTACCACATTAGCTAACCATTTCTTTTCCTAGACTGCAAATATGGAAGAAGGCAATCTACAGGCATAACTTGGAGACAGTGCAGATTGGGTTCCAGACCACTGGAATAAAGCAAATATTGCAATATAGCAAGTCACACAAATTTTTTGGTTCACAATACATATAGAAGTTATGTTTATACTATACTGTAGTCTAATAAGTGTGCAATAGCCTTATGTCTAAAAAAAAATGTACATGCCATAATTTAAAAATACTGTATGCTAAAAGATGTTAATGGTCATCTGAGCCTTCTGTAAGTAATAATCTTTTTGCTCATGGAGGCTCTTGCCTTGATGTTAATGGCTCCTGACTGATCAGGGTGGGGTTTCTAAAGGTTGTGGTGGCTAAGACAACAATGAAGTTTATTACATGGATTGACTCTTCCTTTTATGAAAGATTTCTCTGTAACATGTGATGCTGTTTGGTAACATTTTACCCACAGTAGAACTCTTTCAAAATTAGAGTGAATCCTCTGAAACCCCACCACTTAGTTGATAAAGATTACCTAGGTTTATATTATATTCCAAATCATTTGTTGCCATCTCTGGCATCTTCATCAGTAATAGACTCCATCTCAAGAAACCATATTCTTTGCTCATCTGTAAGAAGCAATTCCTCATCCATTAAAGTTTTATCACGAGACTGCAGCAATTCAGTCACGTCTTTAGGTTTCACTTCTAATTCTAGTTATCTTTCAATTTCCACTGCATCTGCAGTTAGTTCTTCCACTGAAGTCTTGAGTTTCTCAAAGTCATCTATGAGAGTTGGAATTAACTTCTTCCAAACTCCTATTGTGTTGATATTTTAACCTCCTCCCATGAATCACAAATGTTCTTAATGGCATCTAGAATGGTGAATCCTTTCCAGAAGATTTTCAATTTGCTTTGCCGAGATTCATTAGAGGAATCACTGCTTATGACAGCTATAGTCTTACAAAATATATTTCTTAATAAGAGTTGAAAGTTGAAATTACTTCTTGATCCATAGGGTGCAGAGTGCATGTTGTATTAGATGGCTTGAAAACAACATTAATTTCCTTGTACATCTCAGTCAGAGCTCTTGGGTGACCAGATGCTTTCATCAATCAGGTAATATTTGAAAGGAATCTTTTTTCTGAGAAATAGGTCTCAAGCTTGGGCTTACAGGCTCAGTAAACCATGCTGTAAACAGACATGCTGTCATCCAGGCTTTGTGGTTACATTTATAGAGCACAAGCAGAGTAGACTTTAGCATAATTCATAAGGGCATAGGTTTTTGGAAACAGTAAATGAACATTGGCTTCAACTCAAAGTCACCAGCTGCATTAGCCCATAACAAGAGAGTCATCCTGTTCTTTGGAACTTTGAAACCAGATACTGTCTTCCCAGTAGTTATGAAAGTCCCAGATGGCATCTTTCAATGGAAGCCTGCTTCATCTACACTGAAAATCCATTGTTTAGTGTAGTCACGTTTATCAATATCCTAGCTAGATCTTCTGGAAAACTTGCTACAGCTTCTACATCAGCACTTGCTACTTCACCTTAAAATTTTATGTTATGAAGATGTCTTTATTCCTTAAACCTTAAGAACCAGTCTCTCCTAGCTTTAAACTTTTCTTCTGCAGCTTCCTCACCTCTCCCAGCCTTCATAGAATTGAAGAGAGCTAGGGCCTTGCTGGATTAGGCTTTGACTTATGGGAATGTTGTGGCTAGTTTGATCTTAGATCCAGACCACCAAAAACTTCTTCCTATCAGCAGTAGGCTGGTGTTCACTGTCCTATCACTCATGCGTTCACTAGAGTAGCACTTCTTATTTCTTTGAAGAACTTTTCCTTTGCGTTCACAACTTGGCTAACTCTTTGGCATAAGGGACCTAGCCTTTGTCCTGTCTCAACTTTGAACATGCCTTTCTCACTAAGCTTAATCATTTCTAGTTTTTGATTTAAAGTGAGAGACATGCCCCTCTTCTTTTCATTTGAACTCCTAGAGGCTATTGTAGGGTTATTAATTGGGCTAAATTCTATATGGTCTTAGACAATACGGAGGCCCAAGAAAAGGGGAAGAGACAAGGGAACGGCCAGTAGGTTGGAGGAGTCAACACACACATTTATTAAGTTTGTGGTTGCATATGTGCATGATTTGTGGTGCCCCAAAACAATTACAATAGTAACAAGGATCACTGGTCACAGATCATCATCATAGACATAATGATAATGTAAAAATAATATAATTATGAATAGACAATCATATATTAATATATATTAATAATGAAAAAGTTTGAAATAATGCAAGAACTACCAAAATGTGACACAGAGACACAAAGTGAACACATGCTATTGGAAAATGGCACGAATACACTTGCTGGATGCAGCGTTGCTACAAATCTTCAATTTGTAAAAATGTGTATTTGTAAAGTGCAATAAAGTGCGATAAAATGAGCTATGCTGGTGCAGTAGTATCATTGGCCTGAAAGATTTCACATTGAGCCTTTCCTTTTAAAGTTAGGCTTTACTTAATTTATCCAAAATATATGTTTTTTTTTCTATTTAAAAAATAAATTGTATTAGTCATCTTTATACCTGATACCAGTGTGTTTTAAATAGAGCATTCTATGTCTAAACTAAATTTATGACATGGATGTTATATTACTTTTCCTTCTGGCCAGTAGAAATTACCTTTTTCAATGAGTATCTCCTGCCTGCCTACGTGAGATATTATTCGTGTTTCTGACATTTTCCGTGAAGCTCTTCTTAATCAGAATCTCACAGGATCAAACTGAGTGGTCAGTGTTTTATTTACATAAAAGTATTACCTGAGTATCCCAGATGATTTCTTAAAATTAAGATGTGATATAATTACTGGCTCGCTAAAATTACCTACGGGCTCCTAAGCATTTTTGAAAGCTGCAACCAAAAGAAGTTTCTGTTTCTCAGAGAAAGTTGGAAATATTAGAGCCAAAAACAGTGTGTTCTTGGAAGCAGTGGATTCAGTTGTAATCATGCATAAGAACCATCTCTAATTCTATTAATGTAGTTTCTGTTGGCCTAATGATGGGAAAATGCCTAATTAATTCCTATAAATAAGCATTAATTTACAAAATTAATTATGGTTATTTTTTGTAGTTATGTGGTATCAGCTGTTGAATAAGGAAAGTGTTTAGATAATATCAAATAAAATTATTTAATTAACATATAACTGAATGAAATGATTACACTCAGTACGTTTTATTGTCACACAATGATCATTTTATTTCAAGAACATTAATTAAAATGAAAAATTATTATGTTTGTATGTAAAATTATAAACATTACTGGGTTTTTTTTTCTCATGTGTTCTTTATTATTTAGAGAGAGAGCCAATTTTCACTTTGCCAGCCTCCCTATTAACATCTGTCCTTTTTGCCAGCTGAAGAAAACAAAGGAAAAACAATTTTCTCCTGTAGTAGCATTATTTTCTAATTCTGAAACATTATTTTCTTCAGTTTGTTCTCTACTTCTAACATTTTTATTTCCCATTGGCTCATGTAACAAAGGTCTCCAGAGGTAATAGGTATTTCTTGTTCTTATATTTGTAAACATAAAGAAATTTGCTCTCATTGCAAGGATAGTGGTTAGCTTGAGCTCTAGAATATTGACTATCTGAGGTTCAAGTTCCATCTCTGCCACTTAGTTTTGTTTTGAAAATAGCCTCTTTGTTTCTTGGTTATTATCTCTAGAACACCTATTCATAGAATTGTTGTCAGAATTAAATTAGTTCATGATTAGTTAACATGCATGCAAGGCTTAACAACAGTGTCGCCCACGTTTGAGCTTAGCAAGTAGTAAGGGTAATGGACATCCTTACTGTCATCATCTTCTAAAAATGCATTAGAAACTTTATAATAAAAATGAATTTTTATAAAAAAGAAAGACAAATAGGTACTAATCCTGTCTGTTGTCTTTTTTCTATTGTCCTACTTTTTGTTTTTTGTTTTTTTTTTGGGGGAACAAAACAATAAACACCTTTATTACATGGGTGAAGACAAAACGAGGATATATTTGCCTTTCCGGGCCTTGATTTTCCTAAGACAGAACTCCAACTCTTTGCCCTCTAGCACATAGTGTTTTGTTTTTTGATTTTTGTTTTTTCGCATGTCCTAGTTCCCATTTCACCACGACACAGTGATTCCTTTCAGTCCTTTCGCAGTACTGGAATTGAAACTCTTCTGTTCCCTGTTAAATCTCTTCCTCACTCTTGTACTATTTGCCCACCTTTCTTTCTTATTTCCCTTTCTCTGTATCCTGCAGCACTGTCTTGATTTCTTTTTCTTTCCACCTATTCTTCATGTTATCTTTTTTAAGATCTAAATCCATTTATTCATTTTTCTTGCACTTTTCCCTGAAAAATTCACCCACCCTTCAGCTATCAGCTCTATGAAGATGTTCCCTAATGATTCTCCCCACCTTGACCTATGCCCTATTCACCAAGCAGTGGGCAATTTTGTGATGTTTAATGACTGTTAGGCAAAACTGGGCAGCATGGAATTATAAATTTTTGAAACTGAAAAACTCTAGTATAACCTAGCTCAGCCCATTCAAATTAAACAAAATTACTTGGGTTAAGATATATATAAGCTTATTTTTTTTCAATTTTTATGAGAATTTAATTAGTCGTATGAATCATGTGTCTGAAATACAAGCTTATTTTAAGAGATCAAAATTAGTACCAAAAGTTAAATTTGCATGGCAATTTACAATATGCGAATACTTTTACTTACATTAACCCATCTTATCCTCACATCATCTCCAGTGATACTGGTTAGGCAAGCATTTTTTGTCCTCAATCTACATGTGAGGATCAGAAAGATTTATAATTTTCACAAGGTCGTATTTCTAGTCATTGAATAAATGTGATTTAAATCTAGTTTCTCTAAATTCAGTACAGTTTTACATTTGGTCACCAGATAATTCATCTTTTTGTTGCCCTCTAGAAATGCCATTGAAGTACATGAAGTGTGTCTCACTAATTTTGGTTTTTTTCTCTATTTATATTTGTAGAGGTTAATGATGCCTTTGACTAAATGTTTTTCTGCAGGGTAATACCATCCTGGTTTCTGACACTCAAAAGCACAGATGAATGTTAGTGGAAAAATTTTTTCCAGCTGTATGTATATATATCTTTTTAAGTTCTACTTTTATTTAGATTCATAGCATACATGTACAGGTTTGTTACATGAGGTTCTTTTGTTTGCTTGCTTTTGTTTTTGTTTGTGTGTTGCGAAGTTTTGGGTTGTGAATGATCCTATCAGCCAGGTAGTGAGCATAGCACCCAGTAGGTATTTTTTCAGACACTGCCTCCATCCCACTCTCCCGGCTCTAGTAATCCCCAGTATCTATTGTTTCCATCTTTATGTTCATGTGTACCCAATGTTTAGCTCCCACTTATAAGTGAGAACATGCAGTATTTGGTTTTCTGTTCCTGTGTTAATTCACTTAAGATAATGACCTCTAGCTACATCCATGTTGCTGCAAAAGATATGGTTTCATCTTTTCAATGGCTGTGTAGCATTCCATGGCATACATATACCACATTTTCTTTATCCAATCCACCATTCATGGGCACCTACGTTGATTCCCTGCCTTTCCTATTGTAAATCGTATTGTGATAAACATACAAGTGCATATGTCTTTTTTTTTTTTTTCTTGTAGGACAATTTATTTTCCTTTGGATATGTAGCCGGTAGTGAGATTGTTGGGTTGAATGGTAGTTCTGTTTTCAGTTATTTGAGACATTTACAAGCTGCTTTACACGGGAGCTGAACTAATTTACTTCCCACCAACAGTATATAAGTGTTCCCTTTTCTCTGCAGCCTTGTCAGCATCTGTTGTTTTTTGACTTTTTAATAATAGCCATTGTGTCTGGTGTAAAACGGTCTCTCATTGTGGTTTTGACGTGCATTTCTCTAATAATTAGTGATGTTGAGCATTTTTTTCATGTGTTTGGTGAACGCTTGTATGTCTTCTTGTAAGAAGTGTCTGGTCATGTCTTTTGCCCATTTTCTAATGGGGTTATTTGGTTTTCGCTTGTTGAGTGTTTAAGTTCCTTATGAATTCCATAAGACTCTGGATATTAAACATTTGTCAGATTCATAACTTGCAAATATTTTCTCCCATTCTGTATGTTGTCTGTTTACTCTGTTGATTGTTTCTTTTGCTGTTCAGAAGCTCTTTAGTTTAAGTCCCACTTGTCAATTTTTGTTTTTGTTTCAGTTGCTTTTGATGAGTTAGCCATAAATTGTTTGCAAAGACTGATGTCAAGAAAGGTATTTCCTAGGTTTTCTTCTAGGGTTTTTATAGTTTGAGTTCTTACATTTAAATCTTTTGTCCATCTTGAGTTAATTTTTGTATATGGTGAAAGGTCGAGGTCTACTATCATTCTTCTTCATATGACTAGTCAATTACCCAGCACCATTTATTAAATAGGGAGTCCTTTCCCCATTGTTTATTTTTGTTTTAAAGCATAACTGATAAATAAAAATTATCTATATTTAAAGTACAGTGTGATGTTTTGATATACATATACCTTGTGAGATGGTTACTACAATCAAGCTAATTAACATATTCCTCACCTCACATAGTGACCATTTTCTTGTGTGTGTGTGAGAATGCTTACGGTCAGCTCTCAGCAGATTTCAAGTATATAACACATTATTAACTGTAGTCACTGTATTGTACATTACAGCTTCAGAACTTATTCATCTTATAACTGAAAGTTTGTATAAAATATCCCCGTGCATGTGTGTTTAAAACTCCCTTTGCTTATTTTTTATTTTTTATTTCCATAGGTTTTTGGGGAACAGGTGGTGTTTGGTTACATGAGTAAGTTCTTTAGTGGTGATTGAGATTTTGGTGCACCCATCACCCAAACAGTATAAAATGTACCCAATTTTTTAAATGCATATGGGGAAATGTTTACTTTGAATCTTTCTCCTCACAATAATTAATCTGATGTAGTTATGGGCTATGTGCCCAGAAGTGCTCAGGAAAGACTGAAGTGATGATGCAGATATGCACACCTGCAAGCTTTGCTTTACAGTTTTTCATGGGACACTAGTTTAGCCCCTGTTCTTCGGCTTTCTAAAGCACTGAGTGAGACCTGTACTGTGATTTTCTATCTAGTCTTAAAAGAGAAAGAGGACTATACATTAACTATATGTTACGCCAAGTAAGTTAAGACTTCAAATAAAGAAAAATTATGTTTCTACCACCACAGCTAAAATAATCAGATTTCCAGATTTTAAATATATTAAAGTTTATGCACTTTGCAGGCTTTATCTGCAAGATGGTGGTAGAGTGGTAGAAACTGTTATACCTAAGAGCATATTCTGGCCCTGCCAAAATATTAGATATATTATTTTGACAAACCCCTTTGATGTTCTGTGCTTAAGTTCAGTCATTTTTATAGAGAAAGCTAACCAGTAAAGTAGATATGGAAAGTCTTTGAGTTTGTGCTGACTTGAATAAACCTGGAATCATGTATCCATGTCAACTAAGAATTATATAAAATGTTTCTCTTCAAGGCTCATACCAATCAGAATAGTTAACTTGAGAATTAATTGCTTCCAACTAACATGCATTTATTATAAATTATCCAAAATGAAGGATTTTTATATTATAAATATTCTGTTATAAATTTATAAAGAATATGAAATCTTTTAAAATGTCTAAGTTAAACTTTATAGATAATGAAATGGAATTGTGATAGAAGTTATATTTATACAGATCTTACATGTTAACTCTGTGAAACAAAGGGAAAAATTCAAGTTTGGTCTTTGATGACCAAAGTAGTATGAAATTATTTCTCAAAGTTTAGCAAAAACATGCATAGATTAAAAATTAAAACCCAAGGAGGAGACTGCAAAGGAAAATAATGAAAAGACACTCACTCAAATGCCAGATTCTAATCTAGGTCCTATATGGCAGAGAAAAAAAAGGAATTTCTTATATAGATTGTATTTTAATAGTGAGAGACAAAAATTCAACTGATAAGAACAGATACTACACTTGATCTTAGCCAAAAGGCTGAGAAGCAAAAATGTAATAATTAAATTTATAATATGTTAAAAGCTGATAATACTATGGTGAAAAATCAAGGCAGGTGCAGGAGAGTGTGTGTAGGTATTTAATTTTCAGGTAGGATTGTCACCAAAAGCTCTCTCAGTATTTCTCATAAACTTGAGAAGTACCTTCTTTTTTATAAAAAAAAAAAAAAAAAGACAAACCCTAAAATTTAAAAAAAGACTCTAGTCCTCAAAGAGTTCTATGTACTGTATGATTAAACTTTAATGTAAAAATTTTTAAATAGCAAATTCTAGTGAGAACAAAGACACAGAGAAAGAGGAATAGAAATAAAGATCATAAAGGAAGAAGAGGCCAAGTCAAGTATAAAAAGTAAAATAAAGAATTAATAGACCCACTTTTATATTTTTCATCTCTTGAGACAGCAATTTAAGTGAGCCAGGGTCTATAGTAATAATAGCCACAGCAGCTAGTAATTTGAGTACTTTTCCCAGTGCTACATAGGGTGTTAAGCACTCAGTAATAGATTGCTTCAGTTAATCTCTACACCCACCCTCTGATGTGTTACCTCCATTTACAGATGAGAGACTGAGCCTCCAGGAAGTAAGTAACTTACTCAGAGACACACAGTTAGCAATTGGTAGGACTGGAATTAGAATGCAGTTGTTAGACCCTAAAGCTCATGGAGATACTCACCATATTTTAGTGTTTTAGAATGCTGTCTCCTATCCCTGTCTTTCTGCCTGAAATGGCTCAGATAATGCTTTCTTACTGCTTATGATTGTCTTTATTTTTCAGAGACGTCCCCGTTTCCAATTATGTTTTTATTTAGCTATATTGCACTTGACTGCATTGAAGGCTGTTCCCAGAGTAAGTTTGTTTGGGGGAAGGTGTTTATAGCCTGAATCAAAATTATTTTGAGTTTAAAAGCACAATTTTTTTTAAAAAAAGTGTTGAGTCTGCAGGGTGTAAACTCATTTTGATAATAAAAGATGTGGTTAAAAAGGTGAATAAAAATCTGTTATTTTTTTCTTTTTCAGTTTTAAATAATTGCCATCGCTTCATCAGATAATTGAATTTACAAGTTCTTTGGATAATCCTAAAGGCACAGACAGACAGCAGCAGTTTTAGGGAGAGGTTAGTGCAGAAGTGTGAGCACATTTTTCTATTTTTCTTCCTTCTCAAATTATTGAGAAACAGTGACATTTTTTAGTTTAAGTTATATAATCTTCTAGGATACAGAAAAGTTTCTAAGTAGGTTAGTCAGAAGTATTCCGTAAAGTATTTAGAATAAATGTCCTATTTACATAGAGAAATAGGTAGTACTCAAAATTTTGTATTACCATTTGATTTGCTATTTACTGATGTGTGTCATTAAGCATGCTTAAAAATAAACTAATAATTTGCATGAAAATACATTTCAGAAAGCATAGTAATCCAATAATTAACCTGGTAGATAGTGACATTTGAGCCCCTCATCCTTTGAGCTTGTCTTATTGCTATTTTGCATTGTACAGTTTCTAAAAATGTATGGCCGAAGAAGCATACTTGCAGGGATTGGAGTTTATTTTGTAGTGTAAAACCAGAAACCTTTTGTTGAAGAAATGAGCACATCCTAGACTATAATAGAAATATGCTTCTGTTTTGCACTTAATTAAAATGTACGGTTGTCATTTAAACTTTTAACGAAGACAGTGTTCACACATTTGAATGCATATTTAGCTTATGCATGAAGATCTTGCTTTTTTCAAGGTCATTAAAATTTTAAGGTAATCTAATAACAACAAATATATATATATACACATATATATATACACACACACATATATGTATAAAGAAAAAAGTTGCATTTGGCTTTTTTATATTTTAAAATTTGCTTTGATTACATTCGCTAGTAAGTTCTCTGTTTTTTTGTTTGTTTGTTTTTGAGACGGAGTCTTGCTCTGTCACCCAGGCTGGAGTGTAGTGGTGCAATCCTGGCTCACTGCAAGCTCCACCTCCCAGGTTCACGCCATTCTCCTGCCTCAGCCTCCCAAGTAGCTGGGACTACAGGTGCCCGCCACCACACCTGGCTAATTTTTTGTATTTTTAGTAGAGACAGGGTTTCACAGTGTTAGCCAGGATGGTCTCGATCTCCTGACCTCGTGATCTGCCCGCCTCGGCCTCCCAAAGTGCTGGAATTACAGGCGTGAGCCACTGCGCCCGGGCAAGTTCTCTGTTTAATTCCACATTACTTTCTTATAAATTTTATTTTAGAAATATTATAATATTGGGGGATTTTTAAAAGCTAAAGTCAGGGAGATTAAAAAAAAAACTAACTGGATATTCCATTGAAAGAAATATAATCATAAAGGTCACATGGCCATAAATAGTTTTGAAAAGTAATTAAAATATCAGAACTCTCATTTTTTTTTGACTTATGTTTTAAGTTCAGGAGTACAAGTGCAGGTTTGTCATATAGGTAAACTTGTGTCATGGGGGTTCATTGTACAGATTATTTCATCACCAACATATTAAGCCTAGTACCCATTAGTTGTTTTTCCTGATCCTCTTCCCTCCTCCCACCCTCCACCCTCTGGTAGGCCCCAGAGTGTGTCGTTCCTCTTTATGCATCCATGTGTTCTCCTTATTTAGCTCTGCTTAAGTGAGAACATGCAGTATTTGGTTTTCCGTTTCTGTGTTAGTTTGCTAAGGATAATGGCCTCCAGCTCCATTCATGTCCCTGCAAAGAACATGATCTCATGCTTTTTAATAGCTGCATAGCATTCCATGGTGTATGTGTACCACATTTTCTTTATCTAGTCTGTCATTGGTGGACATTTAGGTTTATTACCTGATTTTTCCATTGTGAATAGTGCTGCAGTGAACATGTGCCTGCATGTGTCTTTATAATAGACTGAATTATTTTCCTTTGAGTATGTACCCTGTAACGAGATTGCTAGGTTAAATCGTATTTCTGTCTTTAGGTCTTTGAGTAATCACCACACTGTCTTCCACAATGTTCAAACTAATTTATTGGTAGGAATATATCTTTCCTACTAATGGTGTTTAAGTGTTCCTTCTTCTCCACAATCTCGCCAGCATCTGTTATTTTTTGACTTTTTAATAATAGCCCTTCTGCCTGGTGTGAGATGGTGTCTCTTTGTAGTTTTGCATTCCTCTAGGGATCAGTGATGTTGAGCTTTATTTCGTATGATTGTTGGCTGCTTGTATATCTTCTTTTGAAAAGTGTCTGTTCATGTCCTTTGCCTACTTTTTTGTTGGTGTGTTTGTTTTTTTCCTTGTAAATTTGAGTTCCTTATAGATGCTGAATATTAGAACTTTGTCAGATGCATAGTTTGCAAAAATTGTCTCTCATTCTGTAGGTTGTCCATTTACCCTGTTGATAATTTCTTTTTCTGTGCAAAATCTCCCTAGTTTAATTAGATCCCATCTGTCAGTTTTTGCTTTTAGTGTCTTCGTCATGAAATCTTTGCCCTCGCCTGTGTCCTGAATGGTATTGCCTAGGGTGTCTTTCAGGGTTTTTATAGTTTTGGCTTTAGATTTAAGTCTTTAATCCATCTTGAGTTAATTTTTGTATATGGTGTAAGGGAGGGTCCAGTTTCAGTCTTCTACAAATGGCTAGCTAGCAGAACTGTCATTTTTAATGATGACTGCTTAAGTTTAATGTGTACTCTAGATCACAGAAGTAAAGATAGAATTACCTAAATAAGATACACAAATACACACACACATAGACACACACCCCCCGACCACGACACCCCTCCACCACACACTAACAGACCTGCACATTATCTATGTAGTAATATATCACAAGTCTTTGCCACTCCTGCATTTGGAAAGAGACTAGAGAAAGAAACTGAAAGTTGTAGTTCATAGCCTTTTCTGTGATTCAGGACAATAAAGTAGGCATAATTTGGCTATGTTTATAAAATAAATGGACAGATCTATTTGAGATGCTAGATAGCTATAACCTTAGGTTTTCTGGAGTACAACCAGCAATAAATAAAATTCAATCCATGTAACATAAAAAGGGAAGGATTGTGTTGGAACATTGTGGCAAGCCCTGTGCTGTATAGATCTCTTCAGACTACTAAAATCATGAAACTCTCCTTGCTTTTCAGCAACTGTTCTTACCCTACCAGACATTTGTTTACATTTCCATTAATTAAAACATTCCTTAGAATTTTGAACCTGATATTTTCTGCCTTCGGTATAAATTCTCTTTCCTGGGGTCACTTAGCTCCTGGGCATTATTTTAATCATGGTAATATGAATGGATTGATTAAAGAATTAAATATAAAATAACATGCTAAATTCATATTCCAAAAACCTACATTATTTCACATTTTAGCCTGTCTTCAGTTGGAATGTATCTTACAATATTGATGTGGTAGTGATATTTTTTCACTTTATTAGAGATATATAAAATAATTCATCTTGAAATGGGTGATGTCTTAGATTTGAAGATACATTGTAACTTACCCGCTCTGCCATCGTTATAGTCGTCTAGTCACTGGAGAACTCTTCTTTTTGTCACTCAATTTGAAACCTCAAGGGTTGTACCTTACAATAAATTTCCTTAGCTTCATCAGTGGGAGTGAAGTGAGTTTAGTGCAGAATGATATAAATGATAGTACTTCTTACATCAAAATCCTTATACTTTGAACAGACACTTTATCAAGTGCCTGAGCAAACACAGCAGCTTTTGAAGTATTTGAAGAGCCATTGAATTTAAGAGTCTTCATGCCTTCACTGTTCTTTAATCTTATTAGTACAGGCCTCCTTCAGAACACTGGCTCTTCCTTGGTTCAAATTTAAGGACATGGATTATAAAATAATGGCTGAAAACTTATCTACTTCAACCTGTTGATAGATATATCAAATACTTAGGAAGCTCTTGAATTTAAAATAAGAAATCATAATATTTTAAAATGCTATCCAAACTGATAGGGACCTATTTGATCTCCTTTAAAAAAAAAAACTATTAAAAAATTTTCATTCTTTTCCCACTGTATTTTTTTCCAGTTGAACAAGGTAAATTTTATGATCCAGTGTTTTGTATTTACTAATAAAATGATCAAATGGACCAAATAAGAAATGGACTAGAACAAGTATAGTAAATCTCAGATATTCAGACCTCAACATTACTTTTAGGAATGGCAATCTTGTATATCTAATTATGTCAGTAATTTAGATGGATATCATTTTATCTGATTTTTCTATTTTTATTCTTCTCTTGTCATTTTCATTCTGTCCTCTTTATGCTTGGAATGTGATATGTTTTGGATATTTGTCCCCTTAAGATCTCATGTTGAAATGTGATTCCCAGTGTTGGAGGTGGGGCCTGGTAGAGGTGTTTGGGACACGAGGGAGGATTCTTCATGAATGGCTTGATGCCCTCCCCATGGTAACAAGTGACTTCTCACTCACATGAGAGCTGGTTGCTTAAAGGAGCTTCACTCCTCCTCCTTGCTCTCTCTTGCTCCCTTGCTTGCCATGTGACATTCCTGGACCCCTTCTCCTTCTGCCATGAGTGTAAGCTTCTTAAGGCCCTCACCAAAAGCAGATGCCAGCACCATGCTTCCTATATGTATGGTCTGCAGAACTGTGAGCCAAAATAAACCTCTTTCCTTTATGAATTATCTCAAATATAACAATATGAAGAATTTCAACCTGAGAAATAAACAAGAAACTGTATATGAAAACACTGCCGTATTCTTGGCATAAAATTGGTGCCGCATATAGAGAGTAAAGTAATCAGATCTACATTTGACTTACGCGCACCTCCCAACTCTACCACTTAACAAGCTGTCTGCCTTTGGGCACAACTGCTCTTCCCTTCCACTTCTGATTCCCTAATTCAGTCTCAGTTTCCTTACTTTTGAATACTGTCACTTGTACTTCTGAAACTCAGTCTATGTCTCTCCTTTCCCACAGTCAGAGATTAGCCATACTTAACTATCCTTGGACTGTTGTTAGACTCCTGACTGCTTTTCCCGACTTAGTCTTTCCGCCGTCTGTTTTATACTGTTTACAACCTCCGGGTTAATTTTTTTTTTATTGTGATACACTTTCTCAAGAATTTTAAACACTATCACACTTAACTAATAAAATAAGTCTTAAGACCCTAACCCAGCCTTCAAAAGTCTTCATATATGGCTCGTCCCTCATATTTTTCTTCCTTGACTCTCCCTCTCATTGCATATTGCTTTTTGCTCTATTTACGCATGTTCATATGCATGCCTAATCTCCCTTTACAGGCTGTGAGTCACATGTACATGAAGACCATGTCTTCCTTATTTTTGTTTCTTGCACAATATCTTGTACATTGTATGTACTTAGTAAATGAATGGGGGAGTAAAGATAATTTATTGTACTTTCCTCAATTATAAAAAACAATATATGTAATTTGGCTTTTCTTGGTAAGTCAGTGTTGTCATTCTGAATATCAGTTTCAAAGTTTTATTGGGAAATTGGGAACCTATTAGGAGAAGGTCCTCTGCTAGGCATAGGGAGGTAGCTATGGATAACAGATGACCTTTTAAGGTGTCCTGCTAAATTTATTTTGTGTGCTATGTATTGGAAACCATATAACGAAGGTAGTTTAAAATAAGTATACATTGGCTTTGAGTCATATTTTCAGAGATAAATTTTCACAGAAAAAGGATGATGTAGGAATTGTGGTGCTGTGTGGGTCCCATATCATGTATGTACATATGTGTGCATCTGTGTGTATGTGTGTGCACATGAGAGAGAGTGAGGGAGTACCCAAGTGAGAGAATGTGTAAAACAAACAAATCAGTTGCTCAAATAACCTGCTTGAAAAGGCTTGTTCTAATTCTAAGCAGTATTCCTAAAACATGTAGTTTCCTGATACTTGAATAATATATGATAGCAATTCACAATTATAAAGCTCTTTCACACGCATTACCTTTCACTTAGTGTTTAAATTTGTAGAAATTTCTGGATTTTAAAGGCCACATTTTCTAAAGGAAGCTATTGTGTTCCCTGGGCAATGTAGACACAGAACTGGGTGATTGCACAATTGGACACAGAAAATTTTTTTCTTTAAATTATAGGCCAGAGAAACATGTCTAAATTGATGTTTTGAAACTTTCTCTATGGCTTTCATAAGCTTTTCCTTTATGGCTACCAATTATATAAAGTAAGTAGATTCTAACACTTTCAATATGATGATCTCTTTCAGTGTCAAAGAGAAATGAATCCTTGTATAGCAATTGTTCTTTTACTGTCCTTTGATTGAGAAAAGTATACACAAAAACTATTAAATTTTGTGACTTTAAAATTGCATTTTTTGGTGTGTGAAGCTCAGTCTGTACTTTATTGTGGGAAAAGCATGTAAAATGATGGACACATGATTTTTATTTTACTATAACATTGAAAATAACGATTAAATATTATTTAATTCTGTGTCAGAGAAATAATTTTGTTGAGAACATTCTCCTTTATTAAGAGAAAAAAAAAAAAAAAGCATTCCAGGCATGGTAGCTCATTAATCCCAGCACTTTAAGAGGCCGAGGTGGGCAGATTGCTTGGGCTCAAGAGTTCGAGACCAGCCTGGGCAACATGGTGAAACCCCATCTCTACGAAAAATATAAAAATCAGTCTGGTGGCATGTGTCTGTGTCTGTGATCTCAACTACTTGAGAGGCTGAGGTGGGACAAATTGCTTGAGCCCAGGGAGGCAGAGGTTTCAGTGAGGCAAGATCGTGCCACTACACTGCAGCCTGGGTGACAGCCAGACCCTGTCTTAAAAAAAAAAAAAAAAAAAAAAAAAAAAAGTGCCCCTAAGTAAATGAGGGAATTCTTACTTTTAGTTTTGCAACCTTAAATAATTTTCCTATAACATTTTAAAAATTGTAATTCAGGTGACTAAAATGAAAGTGTTCATAGGAGGAAATAATCATCTCTACTATTAGTGAGAAGTTGAATTTGGTTAGGAACGGGTTCAGAACATGCTACCCCAAAATATGCCACTTTGGCTTATTGATTATTTTGAGCTGAAGCTGTTTGAGAAACAAGAGATGGAGAAAGAGCTCTTTGATCCCCTCCTTTCTACCTAAAAGCAAATCATAAAATTGCCCGTGAAAAAGTTGTCTTTCCTGTGCCGGGAATAGGAGGACATTCTCGTCACCAGACATTGGGAAGCCATGCCGAAACAGACCTGTACAAACAAACCTACTAAAATAACCCCTGTCTTCCATCAGTTTCCCCCATATATTTCCTCGTTGTTTTCCCACAATTTACTGCCCCCGGCACAAGCTCTTGTGTCTTGTCACATTCCCATAATTGATCATTCGTTGTGTAAAAGGCACATTAAATGTTTGGGTCTAATGGTTTCTTTCCTTTTTTCTTTTTAACTTTTAGGTTCAGGGGGTACATGTGCAGGTTTGTTACTGGGCAAACTGCCTGTTGTTGGGGTTTGGTGCACAGATTTTTTTGTCACCCAGGTAATAAGCATAGTACCTGATGGGTAGTTTTTCCATACTCACCCTCCCCCAGCCTTCTACCCTCAAGTAGGCCCTGGTGTGTGTTGAATTAACGCAGGGACGGAAAACCAAATACCTCATGTTCTCACTTACAAGTGTGAGCTAAACATTGAGTAACATGGACACAAAGAAGGGAACAATATAATCTGCATTTTAATAGTAAAAACATGTACGTTCTTTGAAATACAGTGTCAAACGTGTATAACAACATAGTTTAGTCTTTAGACAATGCCTAATGCATATATAGATTCCCAACCCCTTGTAATAACATAACTACTTACTCAGTGAGAACTTACAATAACATGACTACCAGTCAGTGATTCTTAACACCTAGGTTGGGAACCATTGCTTTTGATGATATGCTTGCCTTACTTAGCCACTGCTATCAAAAGCCTACGTTGTGAACCAGTAATTCATTAATTGGTATTTTAATTCAGTTGTTTTTTAAAGTATTCTAGAACATTACTCTCTAAACTGTACTGTTTTAGTTTTTGGAAGATTTGTCAAAGTATTTTGAAGAACAAAAGCTAAACTTCTATGTTAATAGTTTTTTTTAAATTCCACAATATTTCATTATTTGCCATGTCTTTGATTATTTATTTTCATTATCCATATTTCAGCATTAAATATATTGGTAGGCTGAAATCATTTTCAGCTATATTGAGTGACTTTAAATGTCCCTGTGCCTGGTAGTCATCATTTGCATCTCAGTCTTTCTCTCTTTCTCAACTCAGTAATATTCTGATTATCAGTTTCAGTTTGAATTAGAGAAGGCTGACCTGGATTGACTAAAATGGAGGCAACACTACTAGAAAAAGTTTCTGTAGCGTGTCCATCTTCATCTCTGACTTAGACAAAGATTTTCAAGGGTTGAAAATGATGGCTCATTGTTCCTTGCTCACAGTTTCTATTAATGTGATAATGTTTGCAGTAATGATAATATACTAACATTTCTGAGATTAATGATATATTTTCCAGGAAATCAAAACAAAAAGCACTTAAATTATCTGTATTTCTACTTAGGCTAGAAGAAACAAGATTTCTAAGGTACCAATGCATATTTAATTATAGATTTTTGTATCAAGTACCATTTCTAGACATTTTGAGCCTAATAAATTTGAACATAATGATAGCTTTTATTAATTTTGCTGTAATATGCTAATACTATCTAACAACTTATTGTGAAAAATCAGATGTTCAGTACAGATGCAATGATGCATTTCTTTTTTGAATATTTTTTATCTGAAATTGATTCAATTCACAGATGCAAAATCCACAGATATGGAGGACTGACTGTATGTATTTAGTAATATATCTAGCAGACACATGGAGATAGTATAACTATTAGTAAATATTTAAAAGATGACTACATGTTGAACTTATTCTTTATGGCTTGTCTTGGTAGAAATAATATAATCTCAAGGAGCAAAATTTCTATTCAATATGGAGAAGAATTTATAACAAGTGGAATGGGTTGCTTGAAGAGAAAAGTAGATTAGGTATGTTTCGTCCCAGGCTGGGTGATCACTTGTGAGTCGTGATGGAAGTATAACAGGGATCTCATGAGTGTGTGCAGTAGATAGCCTATAAAGCCCCTTTCAGACATAAAACTATAAAAGAAGAAATGAGTTCTTAGCACAAATTATGATTTAACACTGCTCAAAAACTCACTTCTAAATTGCTCTCTCAGCACGTATTTTACAATGTCTCATTCAACTCCTCAACTGTTGTGAATTCCTTAAGAGCTGTACATTCAAAATTGTGCTAGATTCAGATGCAGCGGAATATGGAGGGCATCAGAGACTGGACCACAGCACTGACTTTTTTTCTGAGGCTTTTGAACATAATGGGCGTCCCTATTCTCTTTTGGTAAGTAAGTTTCTCAACATATTTCCTGCTATTTTAATTTACTCTTTTATTATAGTAATGTTTTTGTTCAAATAAACAACTCTTCAAATAAGCAACATGGAAAAAAAGCATGAAGGAAAGGGGTTAGGGAGAGGGGACTACGCTTGGCCAGATGTAATGTGTGTAAAAATTGGGTTTTGGAAAAACTAATAGTAAAGGATATTTAGGGGACAATTGGCAAAAATTAAATATTAATAGGATTCAAAACTGTTTCTCAAGAAATGAGCAGAAGGCAGTTTTTTATTTTTCTTTCAATTATGAACATTTCTATTCTTTATGCAACATTTCACTTTCCTTCTGTTCTTGTTTTCTCCATAACATTTTATATTAAGCAGATTTCTACATTATTGACTAGCAGATGAAGTTTAATTTAAAACACCTTAAAGGAGTCAATGAAAAATGTATCTTTCTTTTCTTTCATGTAGTAAATTGAAGGCTGAATTCATTCTAGTTATAAAATTCTCTGGATTTTTTATATTACTGAATGAAGCATTATATGACATAACTAATTTTTGCATTGTGGTGTTCACACAAATAGAATGTTAGAATGTTGCTTTAAACTACTATGTTTAAATTCTTTAAAATATGTAGAATTTAGTAAGTTTCTAGATTCAGAGGAATTCATTATTTAATTTATGGCCATATAGTAGGTTCAAAACCACATCTACCATTCCTAATTCTAGGACGTACCTAACAAATACATGACTTTACCATAGCTGTTAAAGTTCTTATTTCATTAAATTCTCTCACTTTTCAAAGGTTTAGATAGGAGTCAGGCATGAGGATCTCTGTGGTACCCCTAGGTCTTCCATCTTTCTACTGTTTTCCCACTTCTCAGAGTGATGCCAGCACTCCACTTTGTAAGCTGCCATATTATATATAAAAGTGATATGCCAAAGATCATAGCATAAAATCATTGAAAAGAGCAGGGATTACAAAGAGTGAGTTGCTGGATTATGGGTTGTGAGGAAAGTGCAGTGGAAAGTCCTATGAGAATTAGGTGTTGCCCTAAATGTATGTGTGTGCATATGGGTGTATGTTGATGATGACACTGATACAGCTTTAGATATATTTGGAGAAAGATATATATTTTTAAGAGAGAGGGCTCAAGGGTGCTATCACATTCTTAAAGGAATTATTACTGTAGTCTGTGAGAACATTCAATTTTGACACGTAAAATAAGTTTGATAAAAATAGTTTTGGAAGTGAATACGAATATTACCATAAAGTTCTGAAATAATCAAAAGAGTTAGATGCCCTTAGGGGTTAGGAAAGATGATTCAGCTCACAAAGGGGAGTCATTGGGAAGGAGCAACTGATTGCAAGCAAACTGAACTTTCACTGATGGAACTAGACTGAAAGGACTTGGAAAGACTCAGACAGCAAAATTCTTACATAGCCAGCTTTTCTAAATGTCCGTGTACCCCAACAGGGTTCTGTTATGAAGAACCTGAAGGTATAGTGAAAAGATCACAAAACGCCATGGCACAGGACCTGGAATCCTGACCCTTGTCTGCCATTTACTCACTGAGAAATTGATTAATTTAACTTTTTTTGCACTGCAGTTTCCCCCACCTGTAAAATGAAGATGATTCATATTATCTTCCCTACAGCAAGAGATTCTTAGGAAGCAGAAACTCTTTAACATGCCCAAGCTTTTTGGAAACTGTAAAATGCTATTGCACATGTATTTTAAAGTTGTACTTGTCATGGAGAGGCAATTATTGTTCAGTCGTTTAAACATGTCAATATACTAAGTGTTTCCAGGACACACAATTAAGAATACCTTCTCCCAGCTTTGGGGAGATGATCTTCTTAGGCGACGGCTCAGACTCTTTTGAGGTGGGCAGAAAATATCTTGGCATCCTTTCAATTTTGTGAGAGTAAAGATCTGCTGGCATAATTAAAACAAGCCAACCAACAAGTGGCAGCAACATCAGGAGATTACTTTTCAATCACTAATCGAATTGATCTCACCAGTGTGGAAAATGCAGTTGTAAATTATCAGGTAGAATAAAGAATGTCTCATAAGTATCAGTAATACATAGAGGAGGACAGCACTGCAAGGACATGGGAAACAGAAAAGAGCTGAATGCTGCCTGCAACAGAATTGTAATCCAACACAGCCGTGAGATAAGGGCTAGCTCTCTCTTCCCAGCAGCAACATCTTGTTTTGGATGACTACAGTGCTTCAGGAATTACTCGTTTAAATACACCTTTAGGCTCCAGATGATAAGATCACTCGTTTTAATGTGAGATTAAGGGAGCCCACACAGACGAGTAAAATACAGAAAATCTAGACAAACGGGTTTTCTTTTTACCTAAGTTATTCAGCAAAGAGCCAGAGGAAGAAAAATCACATTAACAAATGTACCTATTCTAATAATGCTTCATTATAAGAGAACTCCTTATTAAACTGAGTCATATGTGCTGGGATCCAGTGGAGTTGCTTGAACATGATCATAAGTGCTGTAGGTCTTATACCACTTCCAGTGAGATCACTCATACCTCCCATACTTGCAGACTAAAAGGAGGAAGGAAGAACAAAACGCAACTTTTCCTTCTTCCATGAAATTTTTGCCCATCATAACTAGTACACAGCATTTGCTAAAGCTTAATTTGCAAGCTTAATAATCCAAAGGATCTGCTGAATAAGTGTCAAATCTGTTTTCAAAGATAGCAACAAACAGCCCGAAGGAATCTTAAAATAGCCATACATGCTGCAGCATCAGCAGGTACCGTTCTAGCGTTGTCTCTGTGTGCTCCCTCAGTTGAAACTGTGAAGCTGGGGATAACTGCATGTATACCGCCATTGAAATGTATTTGCTAAGGTCAGAGTATGTCACAAATGTCCAAAAGCGATAGGGCAGAGCTCTGCCAGTCTGCTTTACTGGCAGTTATTGGAAACTCCATTTTAGCATAATCATTTCTCTATATTTTGATTCCTGATACCGGAACTTAATATGTTAACCTATATGTTAATCAGTGCACTGGAGGCAGGGGACTTCCTTTCTCTCCTCTGATTCATAAAACCAAATTCCATAGCACAAATGAGAGATAAGAGATTATTGAGCCTTAAATGAATTAGATTTCTTTACGGTAACTGAATGATGATGCTGAAAATGAGAATAAAGCAGTAGGTTTAGCACTAATTACTTTGGCAATTAGGTTTCTTATCAATAAGAAGTAGATGTATTTACTCTCATTCTAAATTTGGAGGTTCAAAAGTAGACTTGATTTAAATACAGGATTTGGCATAGATGTATCACTTTTATTGCCCCTCAGTTGTAAGTTTTAATACAGCTTAACAATTGGAAAATATCTTCTGCTCTATTCAAAATTATGAAAATAGTTTTTTAGAAGAAAGAAAATCTTGATTTTTAGTTTACTTTTTTAATGTATACAAGTTAGATGAGCTAATATACATTTCTGTACAGAAATACTAGAGTCACTTTTCTCCTAACCCCAATGCAAAATAATGAGAATTAGAATACAAGAATAAAATTTATTTTTTCTTAGAAAAGTATTTTATGAACTAAAGCATGTATGTGAAAACTAAAATTAATTTATATCATCTTTATATTTTTCAAAAAACTGTGATTTTTATTATAAAAAAGTGTTTATGTAGACTATGAAAGAATCTGATGACTTTTTCATTGAATGATGTTTGTTTGTTTTTTGTGAGACGGAGTCTCACTCTGTTGCCCAGGCTGGAGTGCAGTGGCGTGATCTTGACTCACTGCAACCTCTGCCTCCCAGGTTCAAGCAGTTTTCCTGCCTCAGCCTCCCGAATAGCTGGGATTACAGCCGCACACCACCACGCCCAGCTAATTTTTGTATTTTTAGTAGAGACGAGGTTTCATCATGTTGGCCAGGCTGGTCTCAAACTCCTGACCTCAGGTGATCCACCTGCCTCGGCCTCCCAAAGTACTGGGATTACAGGCGTGAGCCACTATGCCCGACCCACTGAATGATGTTTTCATTCTACCAGAATTATATGTGTATGTGCTATTTCTAAACTTAACAATTTCTAAGGGAATTTTTTAAATTGCCCTTTAAAGTATTAAATATTTTTTCATTTTAAACTTTTCTTTTTTTAAATGTTTGACACTGTGTTTTCAAAAACTGTGTAATTAAATTTTGCAAGTCAATTATTAGTCCTAGAGGAAAATACAGTCCTAGAGGAAAATAACATTTTGCCTGAATGACATAAAATAGAGCATTGTGTGAGCAGTTATTGTCTTAGCCACACTCATGGTTAGTGAGTCAATTAAGTCATTAAAGTTGTCAAAATAACTGAGTAGATTAGCATGCATTTGACTCTCTTCATAAATGAATTGGATTGTACTGTGCTATTCTGACTCTTTGTGAAGAGCAGACTATTAATATAGCTAGAAAAAAATGAAACTCATGGCTGTATACTACGTTGTCTCATGTTCTTAAGGCGATTCTAGGTATAAAATGTTTAGGGCTTACAGGCTAATAAATGAGCATATGAGATATGTTTATCAGCATGCATATTATCATGAATGATAAGTGGCTTCTATATACAGGTACATCAATATACTTTTTATATTTAAATATACTTAAATGATTGTGTTTAAATCTACTTAAATGTGTTCATGTTTCTTTTCTCTTGCCACATTAATCAAAACTATTTTATAAATTAAAATGATAAAATGAGAATTACAGAGCCAATACTTAGGCTAAATTTTAGGAACCCCAAATTGTTCATGTCTGTAATTGTCTCATCATAAGGGTTAGCTCTGATTATCTTACGTTCTTTAGTATAATCAGTAGTAGTTTTCTAACCACTAAGAAAATTGATTTACATACTCAGAAGAAAACTCAAAATTCCATAAATAGCCATAGTTAAGAAAAATCACTGGCTTAGGGAAATTCTTCCATGTTGCCTATACCACAAAGGCTCTGGAGCAATATAAACACATTCTGGTAATTAACACTGCAGTGAAATATATGTATATTATTACAAAGTATTTCTGTTAATGATACTGTACAATTGTGAACCAAAGGGTTTTTTTTTTAGCATATTGCATTAAGAGGTCTCTAAGTATGATGGAACTGTCATTATAAACCTCCTTACATAAAAAGACCAGCATCAGTTAGTGAGTGTTCTTGGAGCATTTTTTAACCATTAAGTGCCACAATGGGAATATATTGCAGTGCATATGTTACAAACCTGGAACTTTGTTATGGCATCCTTTAAAAAAAAAAACCCTCTCGGATGGGTGTGGTGGCTCACACCTGTAATCCCAGCCTGCCGAGGCAGGCAGAACAGCTGAGGTCGGGAGTTCGAGACCAGCCTTACCAACATGGAGAAACCCCGTGTCTACTAAAAACACACAAAAAATTAGCCGGGTGTGGTGGCGCATCCCTGTAATCCCAGCTACTCAGGAGGCTGAGGCAGGAGAATCACTTGAACCTGGGAGGCAGAGGCTGCGGTGAGCCAAGATTGTGCCATTGAACTCCAGCCTGGGTAACAAGAGCGAAACTCCTTCTAAAAAGAAAAAAAAAAAAAAATTTAGACAAGCTAAATTTAGACAAGCTAAAATGCCAAAACATCAAAGAGTAAGACTGGTTCTAAATTATCATTATGTAATTATTATTATATTTCATTAATGAAATAATGAGGTTATGAATGAAACAGTAGATATCACAATTGCATAGGATCCAAATCTGAGATATGTCACTATAACACGCACTAACAGAGACCTGTCATTATTTATCCTAGGCCTGTCTAATGTGTTTCATTGCAACTTTCCCAGGAACCTTGGACTTATCAGGGTCTTTTTACCTGCATTGTAGGACAATACTCTATAAGAGAAATGTTTTCAATGTAGAGGGAACTGAAATTCTCTTGTCCAGTTTCTGGTTCTACTGAAATGTTTAGATTGGTTTTCACTTTTAGATTGCTCATGGCAGAACAATTCAGAACCATTCAAATTGTAACCTTCTGTCCCACTGATTAGTTAAATCCAGTTACTGTGATCCCCAAAATGAAATATGTAGACTATGACTAGCTGCGGTGGTTCACGCCTGTAATCTCAGCAATATGGGAGGCCAAGGCAGGCAGATCACGAGGTCAAGAGATTGAGACCATCCTGGCCAACATGCAGAAACCTCATCTCTACTAAAAATACAAAATTTAGCTGAGTGTGGTGTTGCATGCCTGTAATACCAGCTACTCAGGAGGCTGAGACAGGAGAATGGCTTGAACCTGGGAGGCGGAGATTGCAGTGAGCTGAGATCACACCACTGCACTCCAGCCTGGTGACATAGCAAGACTCCATGTAAAAAAAAAAAGAAAGAAAGAAAAGGAAGGAAGGAAGGAAGGAAGGAAAGGAAGAAAGGGAGAAAGGGAGAAAGGGAGAATGGGAGAAGGGGAAGGAAGAAAGAAAAAGAAAGAAAGGAAGGAAGGAAGAGAAAAGGAAAGAAAGAAAGAAAGATGTAGACTAGACATCCTAATAAGTACATGGGAAACTCCTTTAGAAGGGTAGGTCACTTTCTCAATTTGTACATGTTTTGCTAAGATGTAGGGAGGGAATGGGTTGAATCAGGCTGTTTTTTTTTTCTCCTTCTTTGCTTTGGTTTGTGTTCATTTTGTCTGTAGCTTGATTATGGAAATGTGCCCTCCTTTGGACTGGGTCTGTCTGGATCTTTGGTAATAGTCCTGCTTTATTCGTGGATAACTCCAGCTTCCTTTTATTGAATCAGTCTCGTAACATCTTACGTATGACAAAGAGAAAACATTGCATGGAAAGGATTGCATTAGCAGTGAAATTCTGATGTGGTATGATAGTTATGAGATATTAAATACAATGTGTAAACTCTAGGGAAACAGTTTGTAGCACTGAAATACATGGTTTTCTCACACTTAGTGACTACATGGATGTAATATTTATCTTTTTGGAAATACTGTATTGCAAAACAGAACATGAGACATTGAGTTACACAGCGACTGCTGGCATTTGTTAATCTTTTGCAGATGACTTTCATTTCCTAAATCACTATTACTTTGAATTGAAGATTAGAAAAACTATTCTCTAGCCATTAAATCCAGAATATAAGTGCCACCATTTTAAAACTGCTTTAACTTTTGATGTTAAAAACTAACCAGCTGTATCAATATGTCTGATTTTTTTAAGAGTAGTATGGGTTCTTTATTGTGGAACCTTAAGAGAAAACATTTGTAGAGTTGAGATGCATTGGACATACAAGTCTCATTCAGTGAAAATCAACTGTTCTATTTGTTTGAGTTTTTTCCTAAAGTCATGTTTGCTTTGCACCTTCATTCTGGTTCTAACCTCTGAAAGCTTTTTTTTTTTAAACCATCAGGCAAGCTTTCATTTAGAGATAAAGTGACTGAAAATAGTAAAATATCAGCAAAGTCAGAAGTGAAGACAGATTGTCACAATGACAACCATCTACAATATTATTTTTACTGTTTGCTTTGTTAATACTTAGATAAGTTGTTTGAACTAGCATATAAATAAGCATTAAGCAGTTCAAATCACTTCTCAATTTTATAAAAAAATTCAGATATATTAGAGAATATCTTGTTAAATATGCACCTATTGATCCACTATTATTCCTTTGTTCATTGTTCATTTTTTTAATTCAGTCATCAACATCTACCTTGTTCAGTGGCACCAACTGAGGGTTAGAAATAAAACGTATGACTTTTGCCTTTGTAAAGCTCATAGTCTAATGAGGGAAACAGATGGTAAACCTGAAAAATCATTCACAAATTGTGTTAAGTGTTCAGAAAGAAACGAAAAAGCTGCCATGATTGGAAAAGAAGAACTTATCATATCTAGGGTTGTCAAGGAAAGCCTCTCCACATAGCTGGGATTTTTCCAAGAGATAAGGAACCAGCAAGGCAAAGAGTGTTTACAGCAGAAGGCACATCATAGGCAAAGATCCAACAAAAGGGGAGTGTTTGTTGTGTCCAAGGAACTGAAAGGCTCCTGCGGCTGGAGTGTAGTGGGTGAGGATGCAAGCAAGGAGCTGAGCTGGGATACCAGATGTAGGCAGGGAGGAGCGAGTCAGGGCTTTGCATGCCATGGAGAGAATCTGAATCCTAGTTTAAGTGCAGTGGCAAGCTTATTCATTGGTTTAAATTGAGAGTTAGGATTCCTTGTATTACATTTCAGTTTTTGTTCTTGAAAGGAAAAAAAAAAACAAGATTAAAAATAAAAGTGTCTTGATGGAAAACCAGTGCCTTGTATATTGCTTTTCTTCATCTAAATGAAGTAGTAACATTGCAAACTGTGGGGCAGCCTTCCTTCACCACCTAATACAGCCTCAACATGGCAGTAACAGGGCCATTCACGTCATTCTTGTGTAAGGAGCATTGGTTTTCATTAAGTCGTATGGCGCCCTCTAGTGGTGGTTGCTTTATGGTAGTCATGTTGCTGCCAGAACTGTTGGAACTGTGAAATTGAGCCTTCTAAGAGCTTGTAAAATTGTAAAGGTAACTGTAACTTTAGGCAGATGTGAGACTGCGTCATGCCTATGTTTCTTTGACATAATGACAGGCCGTTTGGTACTTTCTTCAATTGCACTGACATAATTGTTTTGACGTAGGTGTACATTCCAAGCAGAGTGGCCCTCATCCTTCAGAATGTGGATCTGCCGAATTGAAGAGGCCTGATTTCAGCTCCACCAGATGCAGATTTGTGTTTTGTTTTCTTGTTATCACTGTCACACAGCTTATAACATGTATGCTTTTCAGAATACAGTTGTCTAGCCAAGCCATCAAGTGTCTGAAATTCAATATTGGTTTATGCAAATACAGCAAACTTTTATTTAAGTAGATGGGAGAATATGTTTAAAATATTAGGAATCCTAGACCATATTTTCAAGTCATCTTAGCAGCTAGGATTCTCAAATGGAAGTGTTATATATAATATGTTAAAAACATTTTGCTTTCCTGGCTAATTATTTGATCCTTTTAAATTCAAATTTGAATCATTTGTCATGTATGATTATTTCTGTTAAATGTACACAGTATTTAAGATGGATATTTGGTGGCTCTATTTGTTCTGATATCTTTTGGTCTAAATTATGAGGTACCAAGATTGTTTCTTTGTTTCTTTTTTTCAAATTGTGTTTAGAAATACTGTAATAAATATGCAGTAGTGATATAAAGAATTATATCCAAGGTAATATAAAAGCCATTACGTATGAACTCATCCGTGTCTCATTTTGTGTTTTATTTTGTGATCTCTTGTCCACTAAGTATCTTGTTAAATGCCAGTATCTCAGTCTTTCTGAAGCCCTGAAATGGTAATTGTAGCATTTCAGAAAATGTCTTTCATTTCAATCAATAAAAAGCTTTTGTAAAATTGCCTTTGCTAATGTTTATTTTGCTATACTATTATAGGGCTTGATTATAAATGAATATTATTGTATTCTTATACCTTCTAATACCTTCTTAACTCTAATACCTTCTCCACATACATTCACATCTACATGATGGACTAGGAAGCATGGAGATTAATATTTTTTTTAGGCACAATTTTGTAACTTGAAATCACACTAACCAATTTTGATATCTAAGCTACTCCTTCGTTGTAAACCTGAACACTTTTAGAAGCTAAACTAAGTATCTCCACTCAGTAGAATACTTCTTCATGAATTTGCCCCTTGGTTAATTAAATACCAGGTCACAGGTCTAAGATAATTGATTCATAACTGAGAGATTATAATGCACTTATGGGACATAAAGTATCTGTTACTTTTTTAAAAAGAACAAATTTTTCCCTAATATTAATACTGACTGCTTGTTTTTTGTTTTTAGCCTGATTATTTGCAGTTAATTAGAAATGAGTTCTTTCATTAAAAACTCAGTAGGAGAGATAAGCAATAGAAACATTTTTACAGCCAAGCCTGTACTGTATATTAAACATCATCCTTAAACTGTTTTAAAATAAAGCCATGAGCATCTAAGTGTGAAAGGTGTTATTTACTTTAACTTCTAAACAGAATAGTAGTTTGATTTCCTGAAAGAATCAGCAGTGCCAGCTGATAATGATACATGCTGGGGAAAATTACTGAAAGTCATCTGTAATGGTTTTCCCATTGCATGGACATTATTAATATCTTAGCACTCACATGGTCTGTGTACTGTGAGAGTTATTGATTAAAACACAACGCAGAATCATGAAGCATGATATTTCATGTTGTAGTTTATAGTTCCTTAATTTTGCATGTGTTCTATATGAAGAGATATACTGTTTATTAGGTATAGTTTTTAAATTATAATAAATTATTTAACACCTGGAACACATTTACTTTTCATTTTGACCTCTGGCAAAGTGAGGAAGAACGGACTAATTATATGCCATATTTTCATTATATTGATTGATTTTGCTAATAGGTTCTTTAGATTTCACAGTCTAAAGTTAGGATTTAACAATGTAATGTAAGTTAATTGCCCCTGTCAAGTGCCCTTCTCCCCCACCCAGAAGAGCAATAAATGCATGTTGCTAGGTAGGAATTACAAAAACCCATACAAACAAATAAAATATTAAGAGTCCAAAATGGAAAGCAGTTGGGTTATATCACAGAATAGAGGACCTTTATGGAACATTCTAATATTCTAATATTTTTTACTGTAGGACTTTTCATTTATGTATCAGTAACATTCTCATTGTTATGTCATCTTCTAGGAAGTTCTTTATTGGCTAAATGTTTTCAATAATCAAAACAGAGAGTATGGCCATTTTCACGATATTGATTCTTCCTACCCATGAGCATGGAATGTTCTTCCATTTCTTTGTATCCTCTTTTATTTCATTGAGCAGTGGCTTGTAGTTCTCCTTGAAGAGGTTCTCCTTGAAGAGGTCCTTCACATCCCTTGTAAGTTGGATTCCTAGGTATTTTATTCTCTTTGAAGCAATTGTGAATGGGAGTTCACAAGGTAATTTATAGATTCAATGCCATCCCCATCAAGCTACCAATGACTTTCTTCACAGAATTGGAAAAAACTACTTTAAAGTTCATATGGAACCAAAAAAGAGCCCGCATCGCCAAGTCAATCCTAAGCCAAAAGAACAAAGCTGGAGGCATCATGCTACCTGACTTCAAACTATACTACAAGGCTACAGTAACCAAAACAGCATGGTACTGGTACCAAAACAGAGATATAGATCAATGGAACAGAACAGAGCCCTCAGAAATAATGCTGCATATCTACAACTATCTGATCTTTGACAAACCTGAGAAAAACAAGCAATGGGGAAAGGATTCCCTATTTAATAAATGGTGCTGGGAAAACTGGCTAGCCATATGTAGAAAGCTGAAACTGGATCCCTTCCTTACACCTTATACAAAAATTAATTCAAGATGGATTAAAGACTTAAACGTTAGACCTAAAACCATAAAAGCCCTAGAAGAAAACCTAGGCATTACCATTCAGGACATAGGCATGGGCAAGGACTTCTTGTCTAAAACACCAAAAGCAATGGCAACAAAAGCCAAAATTGACAAATGGGATCTAATTTAACCAAAGAGCTTCTGCACAGCAAAAGAAACTGCCATCAGAGTGAACAGGCAACCTACAAAATGGGAGAAATTTTTGCAACCTACTCATCTGACAAAGGGCTAATATCCAGAATTTACAATGAACTCAAACAAATTTACAAGAAAAAAACAACCCCATCAAAAAGTGGGCAAAGAACATGAACAGACACTTCTCAAAAGAAGACATTTATGCAGCCAAAAAAACACATGAAAAAATGCTCACCATCACTGGCCATCAGAGAAATGCAAATCAAAACCACAATGAGATACCATCTCACACCAGTTAGAAGGGCAATCATTAAAAAGGAAACAACAGGTGCTGGAGAGGATGTGGAGAAATAGGAACACTTTTACACTGTTGGTGGGACTGTAACTAGTTCAACCATTGTGAAAGTCAGTGTGGTGATTCCTCAGGGATTTAGAACTAGAAATACCATTTGACCCAGCCATCCCATTACTGGGTATATACCCAAAGGACTATAAATCATGCTGCTATAAAGACATATGCACACGTATGTTTATTGCAGCACTATTCACAATAGCAAAGACTTGGAACCAACCCAAATGTCCAACAATGATAGACTGGATTAAGAAAATGTGGCACATATACACCATGGAATACTATGCAGCCATAAAAGATGAGTTCATGTCCTTTGTAGGGACATGGATGAAATTGGAAATCATCATTCTAAGTAAACTATTGCAAGGACAAAAAACCAAACACTGCATGTTCCACTCATAGGTGGGAATTCAACAGTGAGAACACATGGACACAGGAAGGGGAACATCACACTCTGGGGACTGTTGTGGGGTGGGGGGAGGGGGGAGGGATAGCATTAGGAGATATACCTAATGCTAAATGATGAGTTAATGGGTGCAGCACACCAGCATGGCACATGTATACATATGTAACTAACCTGCACATTGTGCACATGTACCCTAAAACTTAAAGTATAATAATAATAAAATAAAATAAAATAAAAAGAGTTGCAATAATCAAGAGAATTGCAAAATTTTACTCTTGTAATGTGCCTTACAATGTTTTTTCTCTGACGTGTTTATTACCAACATCAGAAATGAATGACCTGTCTTTGTTGACTTTTTAAAAATAAATATTTTGCTGTTTCAATTTTTTATGTTCTAGAAAACATGAGTACAGATTTCTTGCTATCATTTTCTAATATTAGCAAACGAGTTCTAGTAGTTGCCCTATTATGCATAATAGGATTTACACCTAATGCTAGTGATGCATAAGGTTTTCATTTAATAAATAGCCTACTCAGAAAATACCATAGCTCATAATAGCCAAAAACTGAATTGTAAACATTTCTCCTAGAATGTTTCCCACTTTATACCACTTGAACTCTGAGGGTCAACTTTTCTCATATTCTCTTTTCTATAAATGTAATGTTTCTCACTTTGCCCTGTTCTTAGCTGACGTGTGTATCTCTAACCTAAAATGAGGGAGTTAGCCACCATGTTCCTCAAGTTCAAAAACTAACCAGTGATAATAAATTGACTTTTCTTGTAACAGCTGTAAAAGAATGCAAGTTTTTTTTTCTTTCTCTGACTGAAGCACTCCCCTTAGCAATACCAATTCAACATTTGTCACCCATCAGGGTTATAGCCATTGCTATGGGGATCATACAGGAGGTTGTCTGAATAAGAAGCCTGTTCTTCAAATAATACAGAAGAGAGTGGAAGCGAGTGCAGACAGATCGTGGGGGAAGCGATGAAAGGCCATGTGTTTCCCTCTCGCATTCAGCTTTCAGTTTCTGGAAAAGTATCTTTTCTGTCTCTGGTCGTGAAGCCATTGAATCTGGTGATGAAAGCAATGTAAAATTGCTTCCTTATTGCTTTTCCTATGTAGAATGAGCTGGAACAGACAGACCTGATAGAGTCCAAAACAGTGAATCAGCTTTCTGGCTGGCCTTGTGCCTCTCAGACTATTTCTTTTTACTATTTTGAGTCATGCCCTAAACTTGAGGTCTTCAGAGTAGTGAGTTTCATTTCCCTCTCTATTCCTTACAAGGGGACAAGCACTGAGCTAGGTAGAATATTCTGATGAAAGAAAATAGCATAGCAATGTCATGTCCTTTAAGCAGTAGAGTTCATTTATCATTCACAATGTGTTAGAATAGAAATGTAGATAAATTTTCTAACTAAAGCCAGCCTTTAGGGGGGAAAAAAATCAAATGAACTCCCTGCTAATTTTTCTGCCCTATTATCTTATTAATGGTGATTTGTAGAGAATTTCAGAGAAACGTTCATACTTCAGGGCAGAATTTCTTAATTGGTAGTGTGAGGAATTATAATACAGTAGCTGTAAGTGTTTTTGTCTCCATAAAGTGTTACATCTGGATTTTAACTCTTGGCAAAAACTGTGCAGAGAAAGCAATGTTTATGTACATTAAAAAAATGTATTTTGTGTTAGATATGCTTATGCTAACAACATGTCTTTCAGAAGCTTACTTATGACTTACAGTTTTTCTTGTCATTTCTGCTGGACCAGAGAGAGGTGTTTGGCCCTTATATATGCTGTGTAAACTGTTTTACCCAGAAACCTGAACTGTATTTTAAAAGAATAGTATGATATAGTGGTCAGGAGAGGTGGGCTCAAGTTGCAGCTCTTCATGCTCAGTGCCTCATTGCTTATGTTTCCTCTTGGAACATACGGATGTCCCAGTGAATTCCTTTCCCCTACGGTCGATGTAATGCCCCCTTAGTGTTCAGCTACTCCAGGCTTTGCACTAATATAGCCCAACCTTGTGAATGACATTTAACAATATCTCTATGGTAACCAAGAGGGCAATGTAAACTGTATACAAACTGAAATAGCCTTAGATCCCATCATAGCAACCAAGTGTTGAGGTTCTCTATTTCGTTCCCTCTTCCCCTCCTACTCGCAACCTAGGTAGACTACAGGCAGAAGGAATAATTGACAGAGGAAGCAAGAATTGCAAAAGAGAGCTCATAGGTAGAAACAGTTTGGTTCATCTTTTTTTGTTATGAAAGTCTGTACTCTCAAGAACACACATTGTTATTAATAAATGTTTATACAACTAGATGTTAATTTCTTGAAGATGGGGGAGGGATATCAACCATTGGCCTGAAATTTCAACAGCTGTCTGGTAGTAACAGTAAGGAAATACAAAACAGAAAATCGACAAAAATGCTATCACACCAAATTACTTTGCCACACAAGAATATGAATTAAATGAAGTAAGTGTTCAAATTCTTTATGCATACTTGTCTAAGGTAATACAGGAAATAGAAAGCTGTAAATGTGTGAATAAACTCATCCAACATATACATATTATAACATATGAATGTGTGAAAAAACACATATATAATTTGTAAGTCAACTGAAAACACACAAAGTTCACTAATTCTAATATTTGGCTTGAACCAGTGAATCACTTGATCTCTGTATGTGATACTTGTTCTCAATTTTAGGTATTTTTCTGGTTACATACAAGCATCAAACCCAAACACATGATTTTATTTGGATTTAAAGAATGTTCTAGATCTGTGCAATGAAATGCAATACATATGTTTCAAATCTTTAGGAATTTCTCACCTCACACTATTTAGCTATGAGTCTTCTATTTTTCCTTTAGAAAGGAAGGAGGAGGAGATGAAATAACTTTATCCCTTCTTTATTTATGTCCAATAAGGATTCTTTTTTAACTGTTTGTAGTGTCACTTTCCATCGACTCCAGTAATATACATGAAAAATACTGTGTGCAATGAAATTGCACACACACCCCAAGCCACGCTGTCAATTATTGATTACAACTGATCATATGATATTACACACATACAAACACACAGTCACTCTCTATTCCCTCTTGTTCTTTCTTATGGTAAGTGGGCATCACTCAGTGGGACTTTTCTATGTAGAAAAAGCAGTACAATACCTAATTCTTTACTGAAACCCCTATTTTTTAAAAGACATACTATATTGGCTACCATGTATTAAGCCTTTTCTTTTTACTGTGTCCTGTGCTGAGCACATTTTTATTCTCAAACTGCAAAATTATTATTATTGCACCCCTTTTGTCTAGTCTGTGCTGATCTCACTGTTCTCAGCTGTCTTTTATGCTAGTTACACAAAGGATCACCAGAAATCTCTAAATCAGGGATCAAAAGTTGGCTCTCTCTGTTGTATTATTTTGCTTGCTTGCCTTTAATTGAATCTGAATGTCTATGTTGGAGGACAGGGTGGCACTTGAAGCCACTTGGGAGGATGGGATGCCCCACTTTGCTGTAAGATATGAGGCATGAGTTTGGAGGACTGCCCCAAAGAGTGAGAGCTCATGCCAGGGGTGATCCTCTATCTGCATTTATTTCGCCATTTTTGGCCCCTGCTCTCGCACTCTCCCTCATTTCCTTGTTGGGTATTTTGCCTCATGATGACTGTATACTGTCGTTTGACTCCTCAGCAAGTCATTATCATTTTCTTTATTGTCTCTGCCATAAGGAGAACTAGGAATTATTGTTTATATTTCTCCTTTATCCTCATCATTTCTTAAAAAGTTTTTGAGCATGATGCTTCTATCTTATCTTTATTTCTCAACTTAAAGTCCCCATTCCACTCATTTAAAAAGAAACAAAATTATAAGTCAGACACCAAAAGGCAAATAGTACTACATGTTCTCACTTATATGTGGGATCTAAAAAGGTTGAACTCATAGAAGCAGAGTAAAATGGTAGTTTCTGGGGACTGGGGCAATGGTTGCGGGGCGGGGAGAAGTTGGTCAAAGTGTACAAAGTTTCAGTTAGAAGGAATAAGTTTTGGAGATCTGTTGTATAGCATAGTAACTATAGTTAATATCAAGTTATTATATACTTGAAAATTGCTAAAACAGTAGATCTTAAATGTCCTCACCACAAGAAAATGGTAAGTTTGTGAGATGAGGGATATGTTAATTTGCTTGATTTAATCATCTCACAATGTATACATGTATCAAAACATCGCATTGCACATCATAAATATATATACAATTTTCATTTATTTATTAATTGCAGCTTAATAAAGCTGGTGAGTTGATTCGATGAGGCCCCAACCACACTACCGAGGGTAATATCTTTTACTTAATGCCAATTCATCGTTGATGTTAGCCACAACATTGTTGGTGTCAGCCTTCACAACAACGCCTAGATTGGGATGTGGTTAAATAACTGGGCATGATAGCCTATCCAAGTTGACACGTAAGAGTAACTATCACAGGAATATTCTGCAGAATACATGACCAGACAAGGAAATGCCAGACAAGGAAGTCTGAGAAACTGTCCTAGACAGTCCAGAGGGGGCTAAGGAGGCATGACAACTAAATGTAATGTGGTATCCTAGATGTGATTCAGGATCAAAAAGGAGACATTGTGGAAAAACTAGTGAAATCCAAATCAGATGTAGAGTCGTGTGTGTGTGTGTGTGTGTGTGTGTGTGTGTGTGTGTGAAAAATAAAAACAGATACCTGAATAGATAGTTCTCCTTTACTGGAGAAATATAGTGTTAAAACAAATTACATCCGATGTCCCAGGGAAACAAACCAGGGCTGAAAGACACTGGGATCAGGAGCCTCAACGCAGTTTTCTGAAGTCACTGGAAAAATGACAGCCCACTGTTTTTCAGCATCTTCCCTGACCAAAAGACAAAGCAAAGATCTAAAACCATGATTGCATGAAAGCAAATGTCTAAAATGTAGGTCTCTTGTTGATCTGCATTGGATTACTTCCTGTAAGATATTGCGCTTATTATTTGGGTATTGGTTTACAGGTGAATAAATAAAAACATTCTGAAACAAAACTCAGGATATTTGGTAAAATTTCTTTCACATTTAAGTTACTCTTAAGTAACTTAAATAAACAGTAACAGCTTCTAGGGTGTATACTTTTCAGCCATCTATCTAGGAGCTACATTTCATGTTAAGAAACAAGAAGTTTGTAGACGTTCAAAAATTAGGGGCTGTGACTGCAATTCTCAGCTGGGAGAAGCTAGGACCAATTTACGAGTAAATCCTAAAATCTTAATGACTGGACAAAACAAAAGTTTACTTTTCATTTATATCACATCTCAATACAGAATAGCAAGGGACTCTTATCCATCCTGTAGCTATGCTATCTTGAACCTGTGGCCTCCAAAGTCATAATGGAAAAAGAGAAAACTGAAGAACTGCAAAAAAAAAAAAAAAAAAAAAAAAATGTCCAGGCACGGAAGTGGTTTATCCTCTTCTCACTGTCCCTTCTGTCCCATCCTATTAGTCAAAATTCATTCATATTGCCCTGACCTAACTGCAGAGCGGGCTGGGTCTTCCTGTGTCCAAGAGGGAGAACAGTGCAATGAAAACAGCATGCCATCTGCCGTAATTGCCAACAAAGTCTGGGAAATCCTATATACTTTATTCCCCCTTACAGAATCATGATGCAAATTAAATATTAAAGGCCCTGAAAATTCCTAAAATAAGGAAATTGATCCAGCATTGTTTAATTCAGTATTTCCCAAACTCATTTAACAGTGTTCAACTCAGTTCTCATTCACAGGGAACATCAATAACATCTTAGGGGAAAAAGCTCTATTTGCCTAAACACAGTATACAGTAACACAAAGATAAATTTATCTCTCCTTTTTTTTAATGTGTCTATGACCAATAACTCCCTCCTTCTAACTCCCTTTTGTGTGTGTGTTGTGCATTTGCCATCCATTTTCCTCCATGGTCACCTGGTCTAGGAGTCAACATTTCTATTAAAATGATGATCTCGTGATTAACTGTCAATGGACGATCTTATTTCTTTAGATCCAGAAATCTCTTGATAGGTTTTTTAAAATTGATAAATAATAGTTGTACACATTTACAGAGTGGGTGTGATTTTTGTTACATGCATAGAATGTGTAATGGTCAAGTCATGGAATTTAGGATATCTATCACCTTGAGCACTTATCATGTCTATATGTTGGGAATATTTCAAGTCCTGTCTTCTGGCTATTTTGAAATACACAATGCACTGTTGTTAACTAGAGTCGCCCTACTCTGCTATAGAACATTAGAGTTTATTCCTTCTATCTAACTGTATGTATGTACCCATTAGCCATTCTCTCTGCCCCACCCCCAGACATTCGTCCCAGACTCTGGTACCTGTCATTCTACTCTCTATCTCCATGGGATCATGAGAGGTGTTTAATTGGATCCCCAAGTACTGACCTCAGAGTTCTCTTGAATGAATGTTTCTGGGTTATGAGAAATCTGAAAACCAGATTAACGACCAACTTCTAGAAACAGAGTAGGATGTTAGGATAAACATTTCATTTAATTGCTGGATTGATCTGCTTTTTTTTCAGCCTAATGTTTTCTTGCTGATTACTGTTGCCTATATTTTAAAATTCATTTTTATATCACTTATTGTAGTATATGTATATTTGTGAACTATTTGCATTATTTTTGGAGAAAGGCAGTAAATAGATGATGGATACACAGATCATAGATAAGTACATAAATATATAGATAGATAGATGAATAGATGTTTTAAATATGGCTTCTGGTGTGATGGCATAGTCCACAGTGATCTGTTTCAATATTTTGTGACTGGTTGCTGAGGAACCACTTAAAGCTAGTGAGAAGTGCAGAAGCTTCCCTTGATATTTTATTAGTATAAAACCTGGATTTTCTAAATTCATGGAGATTTCTGCTTAATGTTGTAAAAACAGGATGTTATTTCTCACTCTAATGTGTAAAACATTGGAAAGTCTATACAAAAAATAATAAATGTTCTGGGTGTGGCAAAATAATAAATGCTTATATGCACTTAATCAAACTTCCATTCCTTTATATATCTAAATCATTAAAAAATGTATATCATTTACATAGATACATGTGAAAAGTTAAGAGAAGCTCTTAATATGGGACAAAATAAAAAATAATATTGGATACAGGAATATATATTATACCCTGCCTTTATTGACAGGCAGTCATAAAAATGAAGTTAATAATGTTCAGCTTTCATTTTGTTCTTTTGAAGGATCATTCTCAAAAATTATTTTTGTCTCTCCTGGCCAGTTATTCCTAGTACTTCTCATAGAACTAGTACGAGCATAAAGTGGGTCTATTCTTGACATTCTGACTAGCTAGCCAAATGTCAGTTTAAAATAGACAATGTTGTTATTGATTCATTATTATTCGTTCATATATTGAGATACTGTGCCAGGTTCTTGGAAAGTAAAGATAAATAAGATAGAATTTCACAGCTTAGTAAATTGACTGTAGTCACAAAGGAGCAAATAGATTTGTTACTGTGTCAGAGTCTAAGAGTCACCTATCTAATGTCCATTCTTCTGTCTTCCACAGTAATAGAACCATTATTCAGGTGCCAAATTACAAGTTTCACCCATGTGTCTAAATTCCAGACAAAAGAGGAAGTTGGGTGGGACTTCTGGGATTCCTGCTTAAAAGGAAAAACAGAAAACTCAAACATTTACTATTAACAAGCTTCTCCTTCAGCTGCTTGGAATGTGTATAAAATGCTGGAGATCTGCGTCTATCTTAGCTATGAGACAACTTTACATGCTTGATGGCAGATGGGAAAGAAGGATGCAGATTTCCAATAATTTCCAATCATACAATTCTGAGCTGCCTTTACTCACTTTATTCACGTAAAAAAAAAAGCCCTTATATATTTACTAATATATTTAGGATTTTCTGTTACTTGCAGTCAATACAATCCTAAATGGTTCACTTATCAATGAAACTAAATGATCTCAATTGATAAATCAATCAAGAAGTTGGCCTTGGATACATAAGATTCAAGTAGGTATATGAGCAGGGCTCTAGACATACAGAAAGGAAGCACATTAGTATATTAGAACTAGGAAATTACATTGAATGCTCTCTAAACATACATTAATTCCTTCAACATGAACTTGTAGTCCAAAATGATGGAAGCACAATATCTGTGAAGAAAATGATTTAAAAATAAAGGTGTAGTAAGTTAGAACCAGTTTATAAATAGCCTTCAATGTCTAAGCTAAGAAGACTGAATTTAATTTCTTATGGATTATAGAGTCATTAAAAATTGTTTACAAAGTGAGAGAAAAATATTTAGAGCTGAAGAAACCTTAAAATCCTCTAATGTAGTGATTTTCAAAATATGCAATGAGACATCTTCATTAACACCTACATGGTGGGCAGGGAGGGGGCTGGAGCAGAGTTTGGGGCTGCTTACTGGGCATGGCTTCGTGGCGCTGAGAGCCCTCATTCATAGGAACTCTATTTTAATCTGTTTATAATCCCACATAGTAATGCTTTTAACAAAATATCCCAAAGTGAATAGTATTTCAAATCTACCAATCTATGCCAATGTTAAAATTTTATTTATTGGAAAATTTTGACTCAGAGAAGTCTTTGCCCATTATCCCACTATGAGTTAGGACTTGACCACAAGTCTACAGAACACTAGCCAGTTTCTGTATTTCGTTGTAGGGTGCAAATCAGAGATGTGCTTTAAGATCTTCTGAAATGTGCTTTGAAGAAAATAAATGTCAGAGGCTGGGCTACCAGTTATAACCTACTTCAGTTGCTACACCAGAGATGGTGATGGGCTGAAACCAGAGAAGTTTCGGTAGAGCTACACAGGTAGGGATGTGTATCAGTGATCCTTAATAGATTCTAAGCCTCTTTTGTCAACAGTGTAACCAAACCTCTGCTTTTAATTCCTTGTGCTTTAAGCTCTCAGAACAGTTTCTCCTTTTCTGATTGCATCCTGACTGATTCATGGTCAATGCCCTACCTTTTACTGAAGAGAACTGTTGAGGTTGTGAATTTAACTTGCATGGTAATTTTGCAGGCTGCAGCCTCAAAGTTTGGGCCTGATTTTTTAATGCATAAGTCCTGAGGCTACAGAAGATAAAAGATGATTCCAGTCCAGGTATAGGCATTCTAGTGTTCTGATCATGCCTTGAGCTGAGAGTTTAAAATCCTGAGCATTCTTGTTCTTTAATCTCAGTGTGGACATCTTCCCCCACAGTCCTTGTGCTCATCGCTTTCTTGTCATTCTTTTCCAAGTCACTTGGACTCTCCAGCTTCACTTTCATTAGGCTCTGTATGCCAGGTAACTACAAGTGACAATTTAAGTAACTGTTTTGTCTGCATTTTATGGACTTTCATCTCATTTTCCACCGATGGTAAAGTCATTACTGCCTACAAATCTCACTAAATGAAATAGCCAATAAAAAATATTATCTTCAGGTGATTCTTTACCTAGGAAGTGCTTATGGTGCCAAATGATTTATCAGTCAGGGGCAGACAAGAAAACAGACATCACTAAAGGTATTATAAACACAACATGATTTATTATAGGAGCATAGAGACAAATGTTGGAAGTGCTGGTAAAGCAAATGTCAGGAAGTTACTTCTGGCTTTCAGAAATTCCAGAAATGACAGAACTACAGAAAAGCCATTGCTAATAAATGTAGCTCTCTGAAACACTAAAGTCAGTGTGATTCTCAGGAGGATACCCAGATATTGCTGGAAGCTTCGCTGATTATCACAGCTGCCTACAGCACTGAAGTGGTTAATTCTCAGGAGGATGGCTGAAAGCCAACGGCGAAACTTCCCTTCAGCCATCTGCAGATGCCCTTACTCTAAAAAGAGAAATGAAGTTGCTGAGGAAGAGCACCCCATGCACAGTGCAGTGCATGTGCAAAGACTATTGAAACTGAATTCATAGTGCACCCAGGCCTTCTTGCTTTGCAGAGTAATGAGGAATTATAAAAATGACAGTATAAGCTAAAACCACGCAAAATGATCTTAATCAAAAAGAAAAAAACATAATTGTTTCACAACCTTTTAACATTTTTGTCAAACTATTAAAGAGTCTGTTATTATCAGTTAAAATCAAATAGAAAAATGAAAAAATAGCAAAACTAACATTTATTTAGTACATAGTAGTTTAAAACATCAGGAACAATGACAATTAGCCTGTTTTCTTTCTTTGTATAAAATATGTCAAGAAGAGGTCTTGAGGAAAATAAAAATGAACAATAACTGTAAAATTTAAAGGTGAAGAATAGTGATGCCAATAATTGACATAGAAACAAGCAGTACAAAAGTTCGAGGATCAATGAGGAGCCTGATCTCGAACTTTTTTTTTTTTTTTTTTTTTGATGGAGTCTCGCTCTGTCGCCCAGGCTGGAGTGTAGTGACGCGATCTCGGCTCACTGCAAGCTCCGCCTCCCGGGTTCACGCCATTCTCCTGCCCCAGTCTCCCGAGTAGCTGGGACTACAGGCACCCGTCACCACGCCCGGATAATTTTTTGTATTTTTAGTAGAGACGGGGTTTCACCATGTTAGCCAGGATGGTCTTGATCTCCTGACCTCGTGATCCACCCACCTCGGCCTCCCAAAGTGCTGGGATTACAGGCGTGAGCCCCCGCGCCTGGCACGAACTTCTTAAATTTTAAGTGCATGAGGCTAATCCATATGGAAACACCCAGCATGCTGATAAAATTTCAATCTCCATCTCAGGAGATTCGGGAACTAGAGCTACAAATGAAAATGCCGTGTACAAAGAAGTGGTAAGTGAAGTTAGGAAATAAAATTGCTGAACTCAGACCCTTCCAGTAGCTCCCAGGTACATGGTATGAAGCAGATAAGCTCAGAGAATGGTAGATGGTAGCATGAGGAGAGACATAAGGAATGGAGAAAATGCAAAGTTATGTAACAAAGGGCAGTGAATTTTAGAACAGAAGTAATGGCAACAGTAACAAAGACAGGCAATGGTAAGAAATGTTGCTGAGAAGTAGGGTAAGTCCTAAGTAAAAACTCATTAAATCTACCATTTAGAATGTTAATGGTGATTCTTTATAGAAAACAGGGGATAAAACGCTTGGAAATAAAAGAAGGAGGTTGGAAAGATCTGAGAAGTGAGTAAGCAGTTGATGACTAGCAAATGTGGACTATATTTTTTAGTTTTTTGTTTTTTGTTTTTTTTTTTTTTTTAGAGAAAGAAAGGATAGCTTTATAATACACCTTGAGAAAATCTAATATACCTTGAGCTAGTAGAGAGATAAAAATTGAGGATGACAGTTCAGCAGAGGTTGAGAGGGTTAAAATTTCTTTCTTTTTTTTTTTTTTCTTTTTTCTTTTTTTCTTTTTTAGAGATGGAGGCCTGGCTCTGCTGCTCAGTCTGGAGTGTAGTGATGCAATTATAGCTCAGTGCAGCCTGGAACTCCTGGGCTCAAGTGATCCTGCCTCAGCCTCTGGAGTAGCTGGGATTGCCAGTGTGGTCCACTGAGCCCAGCTAGAGGGTTGGGATTGGGAGAACAGATTGAGGGTGACTTGGACAGGAGGAGGGCAATTCTTCCTGAGAGGGAGGTAAAAGGGAGGAGGTATCAACTCAGATTATTAGGTGATGAAGCAGGAAATGAGTGGAGGCTTCATTGGCATGTCACTTCACCTTAAAGTTGAATGGAGAGGTCCATTGCACCAAGAGGAAGAGGGAGTGCCAGATTGAGAACTTGTGAAGAGCTGAGAATGGTTTGCAACATTCAGTACAGGAGCTGATAAAACATACCTAAAATAATTGTCTTGTTGTTTTATCTCAACTGATAGGTTAGATCACGTGAACTTGACCCATGGATAAGCCAAATTTTTGTTATTTTTTTTTCTATTTTAGTTCTTAGCTAAGAAAATTTCTGAGAGGTGGAATGAAGGAAAAGAATCTTTTAGTGTTAGAAACAGCATTGTTAAAAGGGTGTCTGCATAAGAAGAGTAAAACCAGTTGGAAAGAATTGAGAATATATAGTGACTGTAGTATAGGGTGATGGTAAATATCAAGTTTATTAAGGAGTGGCAAGCAATTCTTTGTTTTTTTAAAAAAAGTCTCTGTCTTTACAAGAGTTCTGTAGATATTTACCAGTGTCGAATATTTTATCTTCAAATTCAAATACGTAATTAGATTCATACTCTAGCATGCTTCTTCAGCCCTACCTGTACTTATCTTTTTTTCTGAGAATTTTGTCAGACTGTTGGATCTTCTGCTTTTTTTCTTGGGAAGGTTTTTTCCTATGGGCTCATTTCTGACATTATTCAGTGTGTAATTTCTTTTCTATCAAATTGATTTTTCCAGAGTGGAGAAAAAAATCCAACTTATTATTCTAAGAAAAGAGTTTGCCTCATTTTTTTTAAAGAAATAAAACCTAATAGCTTGGTGCCTTTTGGTGAGTGAGCTGGAAAAATTACAAGTATCTTTCTTTCTACATAATTATTTCCATTTGGGCATATGGTTCTTAATAAACGATGAACTGGGTCTGAGTCTTATTTGTTCACTGTGTGAGTTTGGTGTGGATGCTCACACGTCAGTTCTATCAGCTAAGGTACAATTCTTGCTTTGGAACTGCCTAGAAAAAAGAAAATATTTGATTAAAAGAAGAAACCTAACTTGAATTAAGCTCTGAGCCAAGGAATATAAAGAAAAATTAATTCTTTTAAAACATCACAGTCCTAAACTGGAGATTGACCAAAAAAATTATTTAAAATCAGAATTAAAAGAACTAGAAGCTTAATATATTCAAGAAAAGTGGAAATAAAGTCATGGTCCACCTAAGGACCTCATATAATTGCTGAAGCCGATACAACAGTGACTTTCATATTTAACGACTCTGTTCCCAGAATGTATTTTGTGTGTGGGTAGAGAAATCCTTTTCACAGCACAGTGAAATGACAGTGAAAATGGGAGAAGAAAAGATGGCCATGCTAAGGCCGTGGACCAAGAGACTTGGCATAAAAAAGAAATGGCTTAAGTGAAGGGCAATAAATAAAATTATATGTGAATATGCACACACAGTAAATCTATTTAGGTGCAACCCTAAACCTCTCCCATGTTCACCACTGGGTTACCCAGCAATTCACAAGTAGTCAAAACTTTGGTTAGAAGCTGCCTTGGATGTGTCAGTTGCTAGTTGTGTGCTGAATAAAGCTCCAAGGAAAGGACACTCAGTCTATGCTGCATTTGAAATCCAGGAATATATCTTTAAACAGCAAAGTTGATGAGCTGGTGAAGGGGCCTCAGGAGGACAATCATTTGGCTTCACTGAAGGAATTGGCAGTTTTTGCATTCGCCTCCTGATGAATTTCCATACTCCCCTGATTTCCAAACTTTTCTTTTCTCTGCCTAGCCTATTTATGTTTCTGTTCTCCCTCTTACAGACCTCAGATTTTGATTACTCCTTTTGTGCGAAAAGTCTTCCTGCTCAAAGCCCACTTTAAATTCCCTCAAAGGAGATAAGATAAGCATCAAGCACATAGACAGATACTATGTTTCAACACAATAGCTGAAATGAATTTTATCTTTTGACCCACAGATTTCCTGTACTCATGAACTCATAGCATGTTACATTTCCCAGTGACTTATCTTTATGCAATGTTGTTTCACTGTTGTGATTATTTCATGTTTGTGTGTCTTGCTTCTTTAGCGCTCAAGTCCTTGTATTTCATGGCTTGCTTTCATTGTTTTCAAACCACAAAGCAGTATATCTGTATTAGTCCATTTTCAACTGCTATAAATAAATACCCAAGACTGGGTAATTTATAAAGAAAAGAAATTTAATTGACTCAGTTTCACATGGCTGGGAAGGCCTCAGGAAACTTACAATCATGGCAGAAGGCGAAGGGGAAGGAAGGACTTTCTTTGCGTGGTGGCAGGAGAGAGAAGTACAAGCAGGAAAAACGCCAGATGCTTATAAAACCATCAGATGTCATGAGAACTGACTCATTATCACGAGAACAGCATGGAGAGACCACCCCCATGATCCAGTCACCTCCCTCACTGACACATGGGGATTACAATTTGAGATGAGGTTTGGGTGGGGACACAGAGCCAAACCATATCAGTGCCACATGGTTGTACAGAGAATATGCTCAATTAATTTCTAGTGTGACAAATAATTTTTCCCATAGAAGAATTTGTACCCAAACATATCGTTTACCCCTTGGTATTTTACTTGCCTGTTTTACAAAAGATTCATGCAAGGCAGTTCACTAACTCCAACATACTGAAATGATAATCAAATTTTTGTTATGTAGTGGCTCATTGTAGAAGAGCTGATCAGATTTAACTATTTCATGTTGCAGGTGAGGACACAAGAATGCTTATTCAGATTACTTTAACTTGTGGAACACAATGGAGAAAAACAATGGCAACAGCCAGAGCAAAAGCCACACAAAACTTAATCAGGGTTGTCTTCTACCTTAAAACATGTAGCCTGACTTCCCTTCCCCTGACTGTAGAAATTTAGTTTGTCTGAATTTTCTTCAATATAAGTTTGCGGCATAGGAATAATTTCATTACTTTTGAACCTAAGTCACTTTCACACTTAATTCTTCATAAAAATGTTCTCCAGGGTTTAAAGAGAATTATAATTTCTCATGTTTGGACTGTCTTATAGTAAAGAGGTGGAAAATAGAATTAACTGCAGCGAAATGCTATGTTATGCATCGCTTTAAAATTATTCATTTTTTATTTCTTTTATTGAACTGGAGTTTTTACTCATGATTGACCTTCAGATGATTCTGAATATTACTTTCTACCACAGAACTGAGTAGCCTAGTGTTGGCTTCTTAGGTTATGAAACTACAAATTGAATTGGCTTTCCTGAAGCTTAAGGCTGAGGTCGTTGGAGTGTCTTTTAATAGAGACTTACAAATTGAATAGTCAAAACTTTTTATCTGAATGTTAACATCCACCTGTAATCAAAGTCCATTTGTGCTTTGGCTTTGATAATTTTAGTGATGGCTTTCTTATGAGCTTATTTTAGCAGGTGACTAATTCAGAAGAGGCAGTAGTGTTTGGCAAATCCTGATATGGAAAATGATCAAGCAACATAAAAATGTCATACTAAGCAGTCGACATTTGATAAAACTCATTGAAAAATATCAAGGCAATCAGTCAAGAAGTATGTTATGTTTTTAATGGCATACTGAGAACACAATGATGGCTACCTATGATTGCCAATATATCACCAATATCATGTTCCTAAGCACAATGGCAGGAGACAAGATTGTGCCATTCAAGATGGCACTTTCCCTCACATAGTGTAAAACCTATTTGGAGACACAAAACAAGGAAATAGTTATATGCATAAAATTGAGACAAGGTTATGGTAGGAGGGAATATTACAAATGAATTTTTTTAGACAGGCCAATAATTTGGCCACAAAATAGAGCAGAATTTGAATTCCTTGATGGGAAAAGCAAGGTGAATTGAAGGAGATGAAATAGGATCAGGAAAGGCACAAATGAGAGTGTAAACATTTTATGGCACAGGACATAGAAAGCAACAGCCAAAGTAAAGTAGACCATGCTTGGTGGGGTGTCGGGGGGAACAAGGCTGAAGACATAGATTTATGAGGGCCTTAATAGAACTGAATATTGTACCCAGTGGAGAATCAATACTGTGTATGTTCTTGAGCAATAAAATTAGATCATGACATCATCCGTCTGCAAAGATTAATCATACTGATGCATTAAAATGATTGAAAGAGAAGAAAGGTGAGAGTTGGAGAAAATAGTTTCAGATTTCCAACTGGACTACTCCTGAGAAAAAGAATGGAGAGGAATGTATAAATATAAGAGACATTTTGAAGGAAGACACAATTGAGCATTATGACTTAGCTGAAGAAAATGGAAGTGAAAACACAGCCATATGCCAACCTTACAAATGACCAAATATCTCTAATGAGTAATAAAATGCTCAGTGTGTTTATTTTGCTTTGCCACCTTGACTGTTCAAAGAATTTATTCATTAAAAAGTAATGTATCAACGTCAAGCCAGCATGTAGGAGGCTAGCAAATAACAGGAAAGTGGCCTCACCTGACACTATTCTGAGACAACAGAATGCATACCCATTATGCTTTACAGAATGCCCTTCATGACTGCAAAACAGAGATTAAATCTTTTTCATTATGATAGAAAGCATGGCAGTTTCCCAACATTTATTCTTTCACCCTTGCGCAAAACCCCTTACTTCTTTGAGTTTCATACCATATCTCACCCCTCCTCATAGCTGTCATTTTCTAATCTTCTATTACTCTCAAAAAGTGTTGAAGCGTAGATACCATAGTCATTGCTTCCTCTGTATACTGAGATCTGGGAAGAGGAGCTGCTGCTACCCCTCGGAAATCTTGAAATCCCATATACCCCTGTATGATCACAGTCTCTCATTCTTTCAGTCTCACTCACACCTATATTCCTCCTGATGCTAATAATTTCTCAGTGACTACCAGTTGCTTTTGCCTTTACCAAAAACACTCATAACTACTTTAATATTTAACTTCCTCACAAACCTCCCCTCATACCAACAAAACAAAACTCCCATCCTGAATGTGTGCCATAATCTACCATTCCTCCTTACCTATTTCATATATAGTATGAGAATATCCATGATTGTTAACCTCAGCGGGTTCCTCAAATTCAAGAACAGGTCTAGAGCAAAAAATAAAGACAAATGTCTTTCACTTTTGTTATCTCTGCCCACTGAAAAAGAGCAGCAAACTGCCAACTGGCTAAGGTTTCTATAATTACAGTGATTTCTGCGTGTTCATGTTCATGTGTATAAGTGTGTGTGTGTGTGTGTGTGTGTGTGTGTGTGTGTTCCTAGGGAAGAATAAGGATTAAATGAAAGAGAAATCAAATTGCTTATTTTACTGTAAATTAACACTCAACATTCTGCTCTTTTCCAATTTCCTCTAATACCTTTTACTTCTCAAGTTTCTTGAGTACAACTCTAGCCTTATGCAATATCTGATCCTTTTCCTCCTAGAATAAAAGTGTCTAGAGGCTTTCTGGATTAAGTGTCATGGTGCAATAATTACAAAGAGATTTGAAATTTGAAAACTTTACTCCTTGTTCAGAAAAATTTGGTAAATGAAAAAAATAAGGATAAGTTTAAAGATGTATGTGTGTATATATTTGTGGGTTATAGATATTTATACCTCCCCAAAATATAAAAGTAAGAAAAGAATTTTAAATTGAATGTAAGATTATATTTACACATGTCTCTACCATTCTGAATATTACAATATTCTTTTACTTAAAAAAGCCAAAGTCCCAACATGGTTCCTTCATTCTCTCATCAGAAGGGATTAGCATACAAGTTTTCCTGACCTGAAAAGTAACCTTTAGCTGACAAATCCATGTTAAGGAAATGAAAAACAGCAGTGTTTCTACTCTTATCCATTTCTTCTAGTCTCTTCTGATGTAAAAATGTTTCGACTTTCAAAAAACTATTGTTTTATATCTGCATATGTTAAGAAAAGCTTTAAATAATTAAGGTGCTTTTCTGAAGTGAGCATACATATAAATTTAAAATTTAAGGCTAAGCAATAAAGTATTCTCTTTGAATTAAAGTGAACTTGCTGAAATGATTCATTAAACCCTTAAAAATAATTCAAACTGCAAGAATATATACTAATGAATATTTCCTACACAGCTTGCAAATTAAGTTGAAAAAGTCTACAAAGACATAGCTATCAATATAGGAATTCTGATAAATCATACAGAGTCATGATTTTGCTATAAAAGTTCATTAACACATGACATTTATATGGTTGCATACATTGTTAGTATATAATTGGCAGCCTCACAAAGCCAATGATTTCACACAGGTAGATTTTCCATTATTCTAAGTATACCTTTAAATCTCCAAAGATATAAATTTATTGCAACAAAGTGTTACTGAACAAAGCAAAGAGAATATAAAGATGACATGAAAGTTGCTGGTGCCAAAATGGAGTCGCTTATTTCAAATTCTAACAAAATGGAGTTGAGAGGCCATGGCAGGGAGTTTTCATGCATATATGCCTATAACAGGACTCTTCACAAGACATTTCTGCATGCGGACCAGTAGCAGCACTTACCACAAGAACTTCCTCAAGACTGCAATATTCCAGATAAGCCACCTGCACAGCGTCACTTAACTAGCAATGACTGGGTGCACCTTTGACCAAATGCCAATACCTGCAATGACTTCTGTGACCTATGAACTTTGTTTTAAAGCAACTTAAGTGCATTTATTCTTTTTGGCTTTACAAATCTTCCTTTTGCCCCTATTCCCTTGAATATGCCTATGTTCAGTTACAGTATGAAATCCTGGATTGCAACCCTCTGCTATTCCCAAATAAGCTAATTTGTTCTGGAGAGCCTATCTCTGAGGTTTTTTTCTGGTTGACTATTGGGAATGGCTTTCTTGGAAATACCAAAGCCTCAGTCAGTTTTGTCACCTTGTACTTGGCTTAATGCCACTAACCAAAAAAAGTCTAACTCATGAATCGTTCAAAGAGCAATGGAATAATAACAAAAAGTACTATTATTCTCTAAATGGTAAGTTTAAAGGTCAGAGCTACTTCTTTTGCATTGTTACAAATTGTTCACTTAAAAAATTTTTTTTGAGACAGTCTTGTTCTGTCACTTTGGCTAGAGTGCAGTGGCGTGATCATAGCTCACTGTAGCCTCAAGTGATCCTCCTACCTCAGCCTCCCAAGTAGCTGGGACTATAGGTGCCCACCATCATGCTCAGCTAATTTTTAAAATTTTTTTGTAGAGATGAAGTCTCACTATGTTGCCCAGACTGGTCTCAAACTCCTGGCTTCAAGCGATCATCCCACACTGGCCTCCCAAAGTGCTGGGATTATAGGTGTGGGATTACAGGAGCCTGGCCAAATTATTCACTTTTAATTTAAGATATAACAGTGTTTAAAAAATCTTGAGATATTAAACATTATTAAAGAATAGGTTTTACAGAGATTTTTAAATCTCTCAGGTAAAAATTAAGATGACGTGCAGAAAGGTGGGTAACATGAACTCCCTAGATAAAACAATCTGTGGTTAAATTAGTAATAAAACAGATCTCTACCTTCCAGGAAAAAAGGAAGAGATACTAATTAAATGCTGGGCTTTTAACTGGATGCTGGCTAGGCACTGATATGTGTATTTTTGTAATGGAAGTGATTGAAGCTCAAGTAAACTGTCCACAAATTATGTGGTTAGCAAACAGGAGGACAAGATTTTTGGATTCAGGCTTGCCTGACCCCAAAGGCTATGTATCTTCTGCTACAGGAGATTTCCTTCACAACTACTACTTTTCTGTAATATTTGCATTCAAAAAAGTATCCAGTATATAATCTTTTAAATAATAAACCCATGCTGACTTATCATGAAATATGTCAGTAATGGTGTAAATTAGTTCCATATTTTGGAAAAGAAAATTAGCAATATGTAGCCAATCTATAGAAGAAACAAAGGAAAAAGATTATTCTGGAAACTGCCTACCCAAATAAACTGGAAGGCTAAGAATGCTGCTGGAACAACTAGAATCAGGTGCTGCGATGTCTCCAGGATTCTTTTGTTCTACCTCTTTCTGCTGCTGATCTTTGAGTTCTGGCTTTATTCTCTGAAACCTGCTTTCTCCACAAGGCCGGAGCAATGACCACTAGCAGCTCTGGACATGCACAGTTTTTCAAGATACAAAAAAATGGGCTTTCAATCACCCTCCCTCAAGTTTCATAATTCCTACTTATAAAACTCTTTGGAAGGCAGCCAGAACTGGCTTGAACCATGTGTATATCCCCTCAATTACAATCCAGGCAGGGACAGAAGGAACTATGATTGGCTGAGCTTGAATCAGCTGTTCATCCTTCAACCAGTTCTTGTTACCAGAAAAGTGTGAGTGCATGTAAAAACGAAATAAGGCTGCTCCCATTAAACTTTCCCTAGAAAAAGGGAAAGTATACTGTTCTGGAAAACAAGACAATGTATCTTAATTATACTCCAGTGTCTCCTCATTTGCTTAAACAATTTAAATGGATTCCAGTCATTGTGACCCAAGAAGTTTCCATTATTAAATCAAAAATATTTTTTCTTATGTAAGGCACACCATACCAAAGAAAAAAATCAAAAGGAAAGGGAAAATTCTATACATACAATGTCTATTTTATTGCAGCAATCAATGATTGTTGCTACCTAGAATTCCCCTCAAATTCATAAAAACCCAATTTTTATACAGATGTTGACTCCTCCAGGGTCACCTCCCCTACCACAGCCTCAAAAGTGGGATTGAATGTCTCAGGCAAATCTCATGCCACATGGCACGGTGATTACATCAATGATCCAGACCTAAGCCAATTACTGAGTGACATTCTGCTGGCCACAGGCCTCAGGTACATGGATTAATGTAATTCATGAGAGTGAAATTGGAGGGAGTCTTTTTGAGGATAACAGAAAAGAGGTCTTCTGAGGCTCTATGAGAGAGAATTAAGAAAAGAAAATGTTCTCTGCTCTGCGACGCATCTTGGTTTGTGGACATGGGAAGCTGGAACTGCTAAAAGCATTTTGCAACCATGAAGGGAGCCATTCCTGAGATTAAACCAATGCCCCTGGCCTGGCACAGCTGAGGAGTTACAGAGAAACAAAGCCAGCACCACTGTGTTAAGAGAATGGAAGCTTGTCCTTCCTTTGGACAGCTACCTAAACAAACACATGTCCTTCTGATTTATCTCGGGCCTTTTCTTCTGTATTTAGTCTACAAAGTATCCTGAGATACATAGTTTCAGTTAGGATACTGTTGGAAACAACGTAAGTGATCGACCAAAGAGGAGTGAAAAATCAATTTTCAGATATTCAAAGAAATATTTTGAAGATACCAAATCTTATAATTATGAAGACTTCGTAGCTATATTTCACTTTTTAGTTTACAAATAAATCATCTGTTTTTCCTTTTATTTCCTGAGCTATGAGTCAGCATCTGGCAGGAATATTAAGTATCTTATATTCTCCTGTAAACATAGTTGGTTCTTAGTGGTCTTACATCATTGGGAATGAGATTTTCCACAAAATAAACCACTTGAATTACTGATGCTTATAAAAAGTAAGCTAAGTATTTTGATAAGACTATTTCTCTGACCTGTTCAGTACTTCCTGCCTTATTGGAGCAGGGTGCATAACTTAATGCTTTTCTGACAACTCGGTCGTCACTGTGCATATCAATTGTACAGTGTATAGTAAAGTAATTATTCCAGGAGACATTTGTCCCAAAGGCCATGCTTTTTAAATATCTGGGTCAGTTTGTTGTCCTTACTTTTAAAATGATTTTGTGTATATTATGGTTCCTCTGACATGCCCCTTTCTGTCAGGCTGTTAGCTGTCATTTCTTGCTGTTCTTTGATGGCCTGCCAATATGGTCATGCCCCCTTCTAATTTTCTGCTTCTAAATTATTCTAGATTAGAAAGTCAAATAAGCATGCTTTTTAGAACTGTATCTAAAAAAGTTTTTAGTAAGGATATTTGTCTAATATACTAAGTTCTGAAACAGGAACTTTGAGTTATTTCAATTGGGCTGTCCAGATACTTTAGGACAGATAGAGTCTTCCCATTTGTAAGTTATAAAAGAGGTCACTTGTAAACAGAATCTTAAATCTGATTAATCTCTCAAAATAAGGGTTTTTTTTGAGCAGTATTTACATTGAATTCATTCGGATTTTGCCCTGAATTAGGCTTGTTGTCAAGTGACATGTAAATTTTAGACCCATGATGAGTCTTAAAGCTAGAAAGCACATTAGCTAAGATCTCACATGATCTTTCAATTTACCGAAGGCACCCAAGTAGTTTCAATGCTGTTCCCTAGTTGACCTAGCTAAGGACAAAGCTGGTCTATTTTCAGTACGATGCTTTCCATAGTGCCCAGGTCTCCCATATAAAAATATCTAAGTAAACCAGCTCCTTTTCTTTCATTAAAATTACACATTTTTCTGCTGAATGGATGTTTTTAAAGAAAAATGACTTAGAATGTGTAGTACCTTGAATTGACATTTTTGGATTGATGTTAGTTTAAATCTTAAAGGATAGTACTTAACAGAACATCAACTTGAAGATCCTAGAAGATCATATGGAAATGATGGCTAAAATGTATACAAAATGCTTTAAATACAATTATTTTTATCATTATCTTCCATGTGTCTTCCATTGTTCTTCACCAGGAAGGCATATAATGTGCTGTCTCATGTAACAAAGTGTCATTAGAAAGAGCATCTTGTCCCGTTGCTAACTGCAATTCGGCAATTTCAATCTGAAATGCAGATTTGTAAATTAGATCATAGGGGAAACCTATCAGTTGAAGAAATTTTATAGGACACTTAAAATATATATCCTTTCCCTTTTTCAAGAAGGATGAAACTTTAATGGTTTTAAGAAGTCCTATGGAGTTTGAACCTTTAAACAAACAAATGAAAAAAAGGGAGTGGAAGAGTCCTAGAATCCCTGGTTTATAAGGAAGGTGTTTGCTTCATGGGAAATCTCCCTCAGACTCATTCCATGTGGAACATCCTTTAAAATGTTTTCATCAGTTTTGTCTTGCTGCCTTCAATTGAAATGAGCCTACCCCCTGAATGTTGCTGAATTTATAGCTCTAGTACAACAAACTCTTCCGGCATTTCCTACACACAATTGAGTTTCTTAGCTGCTCGAAAGATTTGAGCTACAGTAGTTTGCTTCATTATTAAAGACATATGATGCCTGTTGTACAGATTTCCCCTTGGGCAACAGAGCTGATAAAAGAATAAAGAATTTCAAGAATCTGTATCTCGAAAATAAGTCCCAAGGTATCTTTTTTCATTTTTTTGGAAGCTGGAGGAAAGCTTGCAAAATAATTACCATTTTTATTTAGCTTTGTACTTATTGTCAAGCTGTGGGAGAACACAGCATTTACCAGATGAAATTATGTGCCGTATGAAATAAACATGTCTTATTTTAACTTTTGGCCCACATTTGGTGGTGTTAATGAAACCTCCCTAAAAATGGGAATCTGAAGTCACATCCTCATCAGAAGGTGTCATATAATTCCAAAGGGAGCAGATGTGGCTTGCTCCTGAATGCTTCAGTCTCTTCACTTGAATACTTCTGTTATCCCAGGTAAATTTTTTGTGTGTGGTCAATTGTGAAGTGTTTGAATTGTGACATCTTACATCCATCCTAATGCTTTAATGTCACTTCTGTGGTTCTATGACCCAAAGTCATTGTATTAAACCTATCAAACTGCCTGCCCCTTAACAAGCAGCTCTGAAGCAGAGCGAGCAAGCTGCAATGAGGTACGACATGTGTGCATGTCAGTGGGAAAAAGCAATGCTAATCCAGATGTGCTTCCATCTACTGGGCTACCTGGCTTTCCACGCGTATATTGAATAGCTGGGAGGCTCCTTTTGTTAGTGGAGAGGACAGCAGCTGAAGTAAAGAGTTGGGGATTCACAAAGATAGGACATCTATTAGAAATCAGCCCAGAAGCAGGAGCTGGCAGGGTTCCCAAAGTGGTTTTTCAGCTGCCACAGAGTCAGCCATTGATAGATGGACTTGGCTCCAAATGTTACCAGGGAGAAAAACATATTCCCGAGTAGCACTTAGTTCCTATAGCAGTGTGAGTTCAAGGTACGAGGGCTATACAAATAAAGTGCTTGAGCTGTGCAGAGAAGGTGTTGTGCTGTGGCTATAGCTTTACAGAGAAATTATTAATAAATATAGACTCTTATCTTACTGGAGATATGGTCCCCCAAATTTGCAGAAATCCCTTTGTGTCCCAGTTCTGAGTCTAGTCTTTTGCTACATAATCTTGCTTATAGTAAATGTTCAGTAAATACTTGTTAAATGTAACAACTCCAAACTATTGTTTAATCTGTTCTGCCAAGTCTATTGCATATATGGCCATGAAAAAATACATTGCTTTAACTTAGTCTTTGTTTCCAAATTTCCCTTTTAATTAGTTTGGTTTTACAAAACTTCTCTAACTGAAAACTTATTAAAGTAATATAATCATGGACGTTTAAGGCTGAAGTAAACATTAGAGAGAAAGTGTATATTAGCCCTTTAATTTTATAGATGAAGAAATTACGGCCCATAGAACTGGGACATTTTGGTAAGAGTCACAAATTTAGCTTGTTGCAGAAGGCAGGACTGAAAATGAGTTCTTCTAAATCCCAATACTTTGCTTTCCACTTTTTTATAATTGGAATGTGTCCATATTTCTTAATGTGCTATAGGATGAGAGAATAACTTTGCATAATTATTCTGAAAATAATAAGCAATATTTGCAAGCACTTGTTCGATAGGCAATATTGTTATGTAAATTATTTCAATAAATCTTCACAATACTATGAAGTAACTTGCCTCAATTTTATACAATTTATATTACATATATAGGAAATACTTATGTTTATTGTTACATGTAAATATTTATATCTATCTACCCACATATCTTTACCTACTTACCTATCATCCATCTGTCTGTCTGTTTTTCTGGCCACAGAATGTAAGTAGACACAGAACTGGTTAAACATGGCTACAGTATAGTCTACGTAAGCAGACTCACTCTATTTCACGCAATAAACCAACAAAAATATGCAGAAGTTAAAAAAAAATCCAAATCCAAACACTACAGTATCCTCAGAATATACAACACCATAATTTCAAACACAGGCAAATAATACAAATAAACACAAGTAAGTTAATATATACTTAGGTATTTTAACAAATTATAAAGAGTCTTTATTGTGCTAAAAACATAGTTGCTGATTTCTCATTTGAATCTTGAAAAGTTAAGGCAAAATATAACTAAAGGAAAGTGCAAAGCTTTATCAGATTGAGAGTGTAATCATATTGGTCTATGTAGATTCACACAAGAACAATATTTACAGAGGCATCATGATGTAAACAACCAATATGTTGAATCAGATGCTGTGGTGTACCTCCATTTGGTGACCAGGAATGAAACACAGGTGGTTGTAACAGAAGAAAAAAATGCTTATTCTTTGATCATCAGAACAGGCAGGTGGCAGAGACTGTAAGTAGATTGTTGAATAGTTCGAACTCAGTGGGTAGAAACGAGGGCGAGTAGAGGGGATTTGTTCTCTAATCACTGTGTTTAAACCTCTGCTCTGTCAACTCTCCTTCCCCCATCCCTTTCCAGTTACTTTCATGTAGAAGAAAAAGTTAACTGTGACTATCTTTAGGTATTATGTCCAGACTACTCCAATTTAAACCTGAATCATTTGGAATTCCCAGTTTCCCTCCTGAACAAGCTCAGGCTGTCTCAGGTTAGACTCAGAGACTTACAATAGACTCTGTCCTTTCCCTTTTCCTTCAACTCTCCTACCACTCCCATACTTCCTGGGTCCTGCAAAGGGGTGAGATGTTTAGGGGAAACGTAACAAATGTCTTATATCATTGGTGCTTTTGTAATCCAGCCACTGCTGTCTTCTGTGTGGCAGATATTCACAGGCTGATCCTCTTGGGAATCACATTAAAGGCTTTTTTGAAGGGTCTGCGGTAATCTGCAACCTGCACGGTTGTCTGACATAAGAAACATTCTTTCTGATGTCATCTCATGACCCAACCCCTCCTTTAACCCCACCCCCCCCAGTACACACTTGTTTTGCTTTTGGAGAATCCTCTCCCACAACCCTCCTTCCTGCTCAGTTGAAACTGGATGCCTTCTGCTCCTGGTATACACAATGGCCATCCTGAGACTTTTCTTGTATTCTTTTCTTGATCCTGTGTGGGGTCAGGTGGGATCCTGTGTGTTCCTAAGCATATCATTTGCCTGAAGCACATCCTCAAAGAGCTTCCTAAGAAGGGGCTCTTCAGAGTTAAATTCTCATTTCTTCCATGTCAGAAAATGTTTCTATTCCAGCCATTTGCTTTATTAATCATTGTGCTGAATAGAGATGTTAGGTTGAAAGCCTTTCCATTTCAGAAATTTAAATGTGGTGCTTCACCAACTTCTCTAGTAGGAATTTTCCGGAAGGGTGAGGATGGAGATCCGAGCTCCGCTTTCCTTCATTTCAGCCTGATACGCTGCTTTCTCCCAGAACTAACTATATTATTCACAAATAATTCAACGTTTCCAATCCAATAAAACTGAAGATTACCTGATTTTCAGGAATCACAGATTACTGGCCACAAACAGCCACCTATGGTCTTAAGATCTTATGTTTGCTTGTTGTTTCCTACACTGAGAAAAAATATTGTTAATGGCCAGGCGCAGTGGCTCACACTTGCAATCCCAGTGCTTTGGCTGAAGTGGGAAGATTGCTTGAGCCCAGAAATTCAGGGTTATAGTGAGCTATGATTGTGCCACTTCACTTTAGCCAGGGCAACAGAGTGAGATCACCTCTGAAAAGAAAGAAAAGAAAAAAGAAGGAAGGAAGAAGGGAGGGAGGGAGGGAGGAAGGAAGGAAGGAAGGAAGGAAGGAAGGAAGGAAGGAAGGAAGGTTGTATTGTTAATCATAACAGTTTTCATTTTTTAGTGAAGAAAAGATTAGATATAAGGAAACTCAAAAATCTTAGGTTTATAATTCAGTAAGTTTTGAAAATATATACACTTACATATCCAAAACCCTAGTCAAAGTCTAGAACCTTTGTATAACCCCAGAAAATTACCTTGAACCCTTCTCAAGTTAGTCCCTACCTAACATAGGCAACCACTGTTCTGGTTTTATCACCATAGTAGTTTTATTGCTTTCTACTCCTGCCAATTTATCTAGGTCAGAAATAGTAAAGGTGTAAGGATTTACTGCTGCTCACACCCCCTATAAAACATGTCTACTTAATGTAGGGTGAAGCCTGTCCATTGCTGCCCATCTTACAAACTCCATCATATAGGGTATACAAACCATTGCTTCCTGTTTCCTTTTCTCCTTTCCCCCAGGACATGACATATGGGGAAGTGAGTGGAATTGAAGCAGGAGGGAGACTTTAATTTGAGTAAGCAGAGGAAAGTCCCTGAATGCAATTGAACCTGAAATGGAAGTAACATTATTAGGATTAGAGTTAGGGTTAAGCTAAGTGCTATGAGGTACATGATTCATAGAAACAACCTTTTCCTGAACTTCATATAAATGGGAATACACAGTAGATAATATTTTGTGTCTGGATTTTATTGTTTGTTTAACATAATATCTTTGAGAGTAATTTACTACTATTACATACATCAGTAATTCTGTATTGTATTATTATTACTGTTGAAAAGTATTCTAGTGTTACGACTACACATTATTTTTCCATATATCTGCTGAGGGGCATTTAGGCTGTTTCCTGTTTGAGGCTACCTTTGAATAAACTTGCTCTAAAATTTCATGTGCAATGTCTTGTGTTTAAAAATATATTTTCCTCTTTATTTGGTAAATATTGAAGGGGGAAATTTCTGAGCCATAGGGCAAGCAAATGTTTGGCTTCATAAGAATGTCCAGGAGTTTTCTAAAGTGATTATACTATTTTACACTCTCACCAGCTATGTGTGAGTGTTCCAGTTGTTCCACATCCTTGACAACATTTGGTATTATCAGTTCTTTCCATTGTGTTCTGCTTGGCGTGATGTGGTTTCAGTCGGCAATTCCTTGATGACCAACGATATTGGCTATCTTTTAATATGCTTATTAGCTACTAGAATTTTTTCTTTTGTGAAGTGTCTTTCCATGTTCTACCCATTTTTAACTGTTGTGGTTTTTTTTTTAAATTACTAAGTTGCAGTAGTTTAGATATCCTAGATGCAAATCTATTGTCAAATATATGTATTATAAATACAATTCTAGCCTTTTTGTTTTCTCATGGTGTCTTTTGATGATGTTTTTATTAATTTAGATGAAATATAATGCATTATTTCTTCATCTTTTGTGGTTAGTGCTTTCTTTTTTCTTTTTGGTCTTTTCTCAGAAATCCTTGCCTAACTCAAGTTTACAGAAATATTTGTCTGTGTTGTTTTCTAGAAATGTTGTAGTATAAGTTTATGTTTAGGTCTGCAGTTGTCTTAAATTACATTTTTACTATTGGGAGATAGTGGTTGAAATTGCTATTTTTTTTCATATGTTTATCCAAGTTTTCCAGACTATTTGGTGAAAGACTTACCATCTCCACTGAATGGCCTGGGTGTGACTTTGAGGGAAAGCAGAATCTATTTCTGCACTTTCTTTTCCCTTCCATTAACCTATTAGTCTATTATTCTACCAGTATCTTTCTGTCTTGATAATTGTAGCTTCATAGCAACAAACAAACAAACAAATGACTAAATGAAAAGAAAATTAAAAATAACGTATTTTCCCCTCATTTCTGCTTTCAGATGTGTGAGATTTGGAAACACACTCTTGGTCTCTCTTTAAGGATGTAGGATAAAAGATGTAGCTAGCTGTCTTACTGACATTTTTATACCTACTAACCTAAAATTCCAGTTACAGTGGGTACATCACCAGAGTCCTAAAATATAACAAAGTATACACTACTTTTTTGTTGCATTATAGGTAATGTCAGTGATCTCCCTGGGATAGACAAATTGTACCTTTCTCATATTTCACTTTGACTCAGTCAATTCAAAATTTTATAATTTATCCCACCTTCAAGTATCAATTTCTGTAAACTGAAATCTTTAAGTTTTAAGTGACATATTTCCCATTATAAACGTACTTACAAAAATAACAATACATACATACAAAAGGGTTATTATTAGCTCACACAATAGAAAAATCCAGGAGTAAGAGAGAGAGCTTCAGGAGGATCTATATCCCAAGAATGTCATCAGTACTTCATCAGCCTTCCCCTGTCTCTACTACCCCCTCTCTCTATACACCTCTTAGCTCTTTTATTCTGTGTTGGCTCAATTCTTAGGTGAGCTCTCACTATACAGAGACCCGTGGCAGGTCTTGACTTAGCAATTTCACTTGTCTTTCTGAAAGATTTCTGAAAGAATCTTGGGCTTAGCTGGATGCAGTGGTGTGTGCCTGTAGTTTCAGCTACTTGGGAGGCTGAGGCTTGAGGAACCCTTCAGCCTGGAAGTTTATGACCAAGCTGGTTGCAACATGGTGAAACGTTCATCTCTAAAAAAATTAAAAATTAAAAGAGGATTGGGATTAACTCACTGTACCCTAGTTCAGGTAGAGTCACATGCCTGTCCCTGAACTCATTACAAATCTGTTTGGATATAGGTTACTTTCCATCCCTCAGAGCAAGATGGTTTGGAGCCAGATTTACCAAAATTGTTTTTGTAAAGAAAAATAGAACAGTAATGTCATAAAAAGGAAAAATCCATGCTGAGCAGACAAAACATTAAATTAGATAATCATATTGAAGTACTTATTTTTAAAAGAAGTCTTATGCCACATATTTTTTCCTCTATTCTTTGCCTTCTACCACAGAACAAGAAGAATACAGGTTTCTTTTTGCAACATAATTCAATGGGTTTCTGATATAAAATGAATCCTCAGAGTTTTTCTGAAAACACTGAAATCATATCACCGTTGTCTTCTCAAAACTTCTGACATGTGGTAGACTATGAAACTATATGTTTTGACTGTTCAGTAATGTTTGCTGGCCATTGATGAGAGATCCATGAATGCTATACTATGCTATAATCAGTTCTAGTCTGGGTTTTGATAGTTTATAATGTAACGTATCTGAAAGAAATTTTAGATCAAATAATTGGCATTCTGATTGCTGCAGGTATGCTTCATTTTTATAGTGATTTAAAAAGTTCATTTAGCTGATTTGTAAGCCTTGTAAGAACTTGCTGTTAGAAACTCATCAGAGTTCTTAGGAGAAGGGTCATTTTATATGTGTAGAGATTATGGAGAGTTTAAATCTTTTCGAAATTATATTTTAGTTTATGATGCAAATCACCTGTGGTCCACATATAAATTAACTCCAACATTACCTCAAGGTTAAGCAAGCTTGGTTTAACATCACCTCTTGATCTCTGGACAAAATGGTTTTATATTTCAGTGGACCAATGTGACTACAACAATACATCACTGCCCAAATAATATATCACCACCCTCATAATCTGAGGGTTATCTTCTAACACCATTGCTTTGTAAAAACATGCTGGAAAATAAAACATTATGTACCACAATAACCAACTTTATTTAGTTTTAACAAATCACCTTCCTTATTTCATAGCCAAGGCCTGAGAGTCCCCAAAAAATGTGAAAATCACTCCAGAAGGTGCATTAAAAAGTTCATTCTACTTGGCCAGCATTTAGCTCAGACACTAGCAAACTCAATTATTCTCTTCTTACTGGTAGGGTCATTTCACCTTAGCCTTTCCAGCTTTACAACACAGCACAATATAACAACTCTCTGGAACACTCATTTCTCTCATTGCCATTAGCATCTCTTTTATCAGCTTTCCCCCTTCTTGGCCTCCGTGTCTGCTTTCATACGCTTTTGGCGACTTTCGCGTTCATCAATTATGTTGCAAAGAGCCCTTTACTTCTCCACTGTTTTAAATAACATCTCTTTGACTCATTCAACCTCTCTTTTATTTTTTTGTTTCTTTCCAACTTTTATTTTAGGTTGAAGGCATTCATGTGTAGGTTTGTTACATGGGTTAATTCTGTGTCATGGGGGTTTGGTGTATAGATAATTTTGTCACCCAGGTAATCGGCCTAATACGTCATAGGTAGTTTTTTGATCTTCACCCTCTTCCCACTTGCTACCTTCAAATAGTCCCCAGTGTGTATTGTTCCCTTCTTTATGTCCATGTGTACTCAGTGTTTAGCTCCCACTTGTAAGTGAAAACACGCAGCATGTGGTTTTCTGTTCTTACATTAGTTTGCTTAGGATAATGGCCTCCAGCTCCATCCATGTGGCTGCAAAGGCCATGAACTCATTTGTTATAACTGCGTAGTATTCCATGGTGTATATGTGCCACATTTTCTTTATCCAGTCCACCACTGATGGGCATCTAGGTTGATTCCATGTATTTGCTGTTGTGGATAGTGCTGCGACAAACATATGTGTGCATGTGTCTTTATGGTAGAACAATTTATATTCCTTTGGATATATATACCCATTAATGGGATTGCTGGGTTAAGTCTGAGGGATCTCCAGACTGCTTTCCACAGTCGCTGAACTAATACTCATTCCCACTAGCAGTGTATAAAGTTCCTTTTTCTCTACAACCTCACCAGCATCTGCTTTTCTTTTCTTTTTTAACTTTTTAATAATAGCCATTCTGACTGGTGTGAGATGATATCTCATTGTGGTTTTGATTTGCATATCCCTAATCATGAGTGGTATTGAGCATTTTCTCACATGCTCACTGGCTGCATGTATGTCTTATTTTGAGAGTGTCTGTTTATTTAAAATTGCCCATTTTTTAATGGGGCTTTTTGGTTTTTGCTTGTTCATTTGAGTTACTTATAGATTCTGGATATTAGACCTTTGTTGGAGTCATAGTTTGCAAATATTTTCTCTCAGTCTGTAGGTTGTCTGTTTACTCTCTCCATAGTTTCTTTTGCTGTGCAGAAGCTCTTTAGTTTAATTAGATCCCACCTGCCAATTTTTGTTTTTGTTGCAATGGCTTTCAGAGTTTTTTTGTCATAAAGTCTTTGCCTGGGCTGATGTCTAGGATGGTATTTCCCAGATTTTCTTCTAGGGCCTTTTTAATTTTAGGCTTTCCATTTAAGTCTTTAATTTATTTTGAGTTGATTTTTTGTATCTGGTGGAAAGTAGGGATCCAGTATCAATCTTCTGCCTATGGCTAGCCAGTTATCCCAGCAGCATTTATTCTATAGGGAGTCCTTTCTCCAGGGCTTGTTTTTGTTGGTTTTGTTGCAGATCAGATGGTTGCAGGTGTGCAGCTTTACTTCTAGTTTTCTAACCTGTTCCATTGATCGATATTGTCTGATTGTGTGTGTAGTAGTACCATGTAACAACCTGCTTTTGTTGCTATAGCCTTGTAGTATAGTTTGAAGTCAGGTGTTGTAAAACCTTCAGCTTTGTTCTTTTTGCTTAGGATTGCTTTGGCCATTAGGACTCTTTTTTGGTTCAGAATAAATTTTAGAATATTTTCTTCTAATTCTGTGAAAATGTCACTGGTAGTTTGATAGGAATAGCATTGCATCTGTAAATAGCTTTGGGCAGTATGCCCATTTTAACAATATCGATTCTTTCTATCCATGAACATGGAATGCTTTTTCATTTCTTTGTGTTGTCTCTGGTTTCTTTGAATACTGTTTTGTCATTCTCATTGTAGAGGTCTTTCACCTCCCTGGTTAGCTGTATGCCTAGGTATTTTATTCCTTTTGTGGCTATTGTGAATGGGATTGCATTCTTGATTTGGCTGTCAGCTTGGAAGTTATTGGTGTATAGAAATGTTACTGATTTTGCAAATTGATTTTGTATCCCAAAACTTTGCTGAAGTTGTTTATCAGTTCTAGGAGCCTTTGGTCAGAGTCTACGGGGTTTTCTAGGTATAGTCTTATATTATCTATGAAATATAGACAACATGCAAGCTCTTACTCTCTCTGTTTCTCCCAGTCACCTCTGTGTCAGCCTTCACAGATTATGGTATTTATATGCAAGGAATGAGGAGCATTCTACATTGACAGCGCTCCTTAACACAAACTCTGTTTACCAGTCAGAAGAAAATAAGAGGAAGGGCCCCCAGTAGCAAACTGGTTGTGACCCATACACTGCCAATGTGACAGGCTCCTTCAAGTGGAAGATCCCCTTCTAAGTGAAGGGCAGAGCAAGCAGAGATTCTCAAATATCTCTTGAGACCCCCAAGGACTGTGGCTCTCCTACTTCCACTGCCATGATCCCCGTCCCAGTGGCTGCTTTGGGGTTTTCCCAGGCTCTAACACAAAGATTCCAAAGATATCTCTTTGGCATTGTTTCTTGTTTGACATCCTGAATTTCCCAAGCCCTGCCACTGATAAGGTACTCTCGCCCCACTCCTTTTCTATCCAGCATTGCTTTTTTGTGCCTATAGCTCTTAGTCAACACATTAGATTGGTTGTCAAATATCTGACAGGAACTATATTTGCTTGTTCGCAATACTGTATTTTCTTACTGTTATTTGTAGGCATTTCCGTTACCTTACTAGTAAACTTCATTGTTTCTCTATTATATATCATTATCTATATAAGAAGCAGTACAGAGCAGTGACTTAAGACCATAACCTTAGTGGCAAACTGACTAAAATCAAGTTGTAGCTTCAAACAGTATCAACTGTGTGACCTTAGAGAAACTACTTAAAATCTCTGTGCTTCAATCTCAATTTATCTTCAATTAATAAAGATAATTTATATTGCTAAATCAAAGGATGTTGAAAAGACGCAGGGTCTACAACCCTTGTCTAAACCCTCTGAGACCAGATGTACCCTGGAATAAGAAATTTTTATTTTTTAAGGAAAGATTATATGGAGTATATATTATATCTTAAACAATACCCCATAACAGAGTTTGGGAAACATCTCATAGTCAAACACATCAAAAATTCTACAGGAAAATATAGAAATATTTCCACTAAGTTGAATAAATAAACACAAGAAATAGCTGCACAGCAGTTCAGGTCAAGTTCTGGCATCACACAAATTCAGGTAGAGTCAGGTCTTGTTGCCAAATGAGTTATGGAAAAAAATAAGTTTCAGAGCTTGAACCACATGAGTATATTGTTAGCCAAGTGTTTGACACATGTAAGTTCCCACCAAAATGTTGTCTATTATTATTCATATTATCAGTGAAAACATTTCTTGAGTGCCTATCTCATGTGTTATTTATTTTTACATATATTGTTTTTCCGTGGAACTTCTTAGTTAAGGTCCAGGACTCTCATTTCTTCTCATCAGGCTCTGATGGATAAAATTACTAGCATTCAGATATGGTCCATGCCAATTTCTAATCCCATGGTGGGAAAGGCTGCAAGCAGAATGGGAAATATCTGCCAATCTCATCCTTGCTGCTCACCCCACCTCACCCCTCCACAATAAAGAATGGTTCATAGCCTCTCAAGTCCCTTCACCATATCTGGTTTCTGCACCTGAGGTGGCCCATCTGCCTCTGTTGTCCTTGAGATGATGGACAGTGTGGACATCCAATTACTGCCTTTTGCTTGTGATTTGAGCCACTGAGATGTGGGCATCCCATATCTTCTACTGGATATTACATAGTAGCAAGTATGCAGAAAATGTCATCTCAAGTTACAAGACACACAAGCTATAGAATACTCCTTGTTCTTGTTTTCTTTCTCCTTAAATAAATTTTCTCCTGGTGCTGAGGCAGATGAAGACAAGATCTATCTTTGGCTAGTGACAGTTTACTGAATCTCTGTGTTTGCAGATGAACCTTATTCTAAGCCAACTGGCCCAGGCCTTGATCTTCAAAGCACACCTCATATTTTAAACCCAAACTTACTAAAATCCTGTCTAAATGATAGTAGAAGTCACCATAATTTTCTGCAGGAAGACTTCTGTAAGTACTCTGAGCCCTAAGTTTTCATTTTTACTGTTTGATGATTATAGAATTAATAAAAGTAATTTTGTATAATTTTTTTGTGTGAGTAGGCTGGTCCCTGATTTTCAATTGTTTATTGTTAAATAATCACAAATTAAATATAAGAAATTATGTATGTATACACACATATGCTGTATGTACAAATATTTCCTGTAAAAAGGCTGTCTAGAATTTGTCCCCACCCCCAAGTCTTTCTTCAGGGCACATGTCATTTATACACTTACTGAAATGTGAAATTCACTCAGGAGGCCACTTGACTTCTAGCCTAAAATTCCTAACATTCTAAACATTTGATACAGTGGTGCCCTTTAGGATCACTGCCAATTAAACCTAAATTCTGTGGCTATTACTCCACAGTGTGTCAGGCTATGAAACAAGCTCTTAAAGGAAGGAAGTTTTTCAGGCTACATTATGGTGCTTTTAAAGGGAATACAATTCTTAATGAGAAAATGAGTCTCCTGAAGCTCCTGGCTCCAAGGTCAGCTCTGCATACTTGCTTTCTTGGTTGGCAGAAAATCTGTTAAGGGACATTCCTGGGAGCCCATTCTGTGAAAGCCCCAGGATGAAATAGGTTGGCAGGTGATTCTCTGGAGCTTCAGTTGGGCAACTTTATAATTCTCTGACAGATTTCTTCTAAAGCTGTTCCCACACAGAAATACCCTAGTACCTCAGCTTCTCCCCCTGCTTCCTACCAACCACAGAAGAAGAAACTGGGTTGCTAAGGAACCTGTTGTAATAACACCTGATGGAACTAACACTTGTCAGCTAATAACTGTTTAGTGTGAATAAACTTATCAGAATCTTCCCAAGTGAATTCATACTTTGTCAGCTTCTGAAGGGCTTGGGCCCTCTTTTTATTTATCTTTATTTCTATTCACATGTAGCACAGTGCTAAATAAATATTTGCGAAGTGTCAGCTGAGGTCAACCTACTCCACCATATTGCTCTCAGCTGGCTCTTCCAAATTGAGAATGTGGAGGAGGAAGAGGATCTTTTTCTAGTTGGTGGGACTTGTTGCTTGAGACAAAGCTGTAAGCAGTACAAAGACGTGGTAGCTTTTAGAGGAGACCTGGAGGGTGACAGAACTTACCTGTTATGATTAAGTGAGAGGGGGAAAATAATGCTTCAGATTCAGAATTATTCACCAAATGCTAAGATGGGTATTGTGAATATTGCTGCCTAAAGCATAATGGAATAACTCTAAAAATTACTGCTCATAAGACTTTTGGAGTCTCTATAGTTGGTCTCCATTAGTCGATGGTGTAATTTAGGTGTGACTGCCCCACCTCTAGAAGAGTGGTTAAATGGAGCTTTGATAATAGCATATAGAAATCAGGATTGGCATTATTTTCTTCATCCCACTTCCCATGCACCCACATTTAAGGCTTCTTGGTAAGCTCAATGAACATTTCAACATTATGAGAAATGGAGATGACACTAAAATGTAATTACATTTAATTTATGAAATGCAGAATAATAACATCCGGTATACTAGGACAAGTAAGAGGAAGGGAAAATCTAATCTGGTTTGCCGAGCCTCTTTCCTTGCTACCTCTTTAGCATTAACCAAGACTCACTGTAACATGTATTATAAGGAGATGAATTCACTGGTGTGGTTCTTTGTTATTTCACTTTCGCCAGAAATGTAATTAAGAAGCAAATCATATCACCTTGATGACAGAGACAAAGTATGTCAGAAATGGCATTATTACTGCTTAATTACAGAAAACACAGGCTTCATTCCCACTCTAATTTATCACAATAGTGATAAAAGGTCTGACTGCTTCTAAACAGCAAATTTGAATGAGAATTATTGTCATTTTGTCACTGATGAGCAGAACTAATTTTTTTTCACTGTTATGGAATTAATTATAGAATTTATGATGTAACTTCACTGCTTTTGGTGGTAGTAGTGGGTATACCAGTAACAATCCATGGTGTCCTGTTTGGAAGAACTTTTTTTCACTCTTCCTCGAACCTTGTTTGAACCACCTTCCACCTGAGCCAGCATACCACTGCTCATTTAAGACCCACCCCTGCCAAGAATAGGCTGACCTCTCTGATCTCACTAGGCCCCCCTTATCCCATTTTTCCAAACCTGGTTGTTTCTAGCCTTATTTATTCCTGTCTATAAAAGAAAAACCCCTTTCTGCCTATTGTTATAGATATTTGCAGATGTCATGATCAGAACATTATTTCTATTGCAATGGTGCCCTTCCCCAGATCATACCACTTATTGGTATCTTAAGCCAAGGTAAATGCTCAGACATTGCTTTCCTAAGTCAGTCTCTCTCATCTTCTCTTCTCTCTCTCTCTCTCTCTGTCTGTCTGTGACACACACACACACACAGACACACACACTCTTCCAAAAAACTACAATATTGAAAGTTATGTTTCTCTGATTAAAAAAGCAGATGTGATTGGTGAGCTATTAAAAAACACATTTTTCTTTATAGTTGAATTTCTATCTATCTTTGATCTTCCCTCATTGTTTGGCAATCCCAAACCCCTTATTGAGATTTCTGTTTGACATAGATGAGTCTTTCAAAACCCACTGGTAAAGCCAGTTAGTTTAACTCAGAGGAGAAACAAGCTGAGAAAATGTAAGCAATCCTTGTTTTAATTGTTTCTTTTCCCTCTCAGTAAACAGAGTATGAATTTGCTAAAAAATGTCAAACTCTCATATTTGACTGAATAAACTATAAGGATTTTAGATAGAATAAATAATGTTAATTGTAAGCTGGTCTTGTTGTGATATTTTCTTTTCTTATGGGGGATGATTCAGGCATGTGTTTTAAGTTAAAAACAGTATTTGTTTTTCATAGCATTCATTACTAGCCAGGGCCTGTGTCGACTTTCAAGGTTTAAGTCTTTTCAAATGAAATTTAAAGGACCACCATTCTTTCCTATCAGAGTGAAACACATTCTAAATCCTAATAAATCTATTCCTTTAATATGCCACTTCAAGTACAATAGTGCAAACAAAAACACATAATGGGCTCCTCTTGAGAGAAAGGAAAATGTATTCACTTCTGATGAAAGATCTTTTGATAATTCACTCTTGGCTTCACCACTTGATTTATATCACCTTCCCACATTAATTTGTTTTTAATTTTTTTCTGCCTTCTAAGGTTTTTCTAATTTCAGTGACATATACGTGACAGATGAGGTTGATGAACTGCAGAAATACAGATTCTAACTCAGATGAAAAGCTTAAATTATTCTGCAGTCCCATAGAATTCAAGAAAGAAACTGAGAAGTCGGGATTTCCAAGGGCTCGATGTTAGCATTTTCGAAACACATGATGAAATCAACAACAGTGAAAGAAACATTAAAACATAGTGTGTTTCTTTAGCCAATACTGAATGACTCCCTGGAGCATATTTTTTTCCATCTTCAGGCAATTTAATTGTATACCCTAGAAGTGATGGTGGAACTACAGAAGCACAGTAAAATTCATTCATTATTATAGATTTTAATTGAAAAAAAGTTTTCCTTTTTATAAAATTTATTTCAATGTAGGAAAAAGTAACTTATTGAACTATCTTCAGCTAAGGAGGGAAGCCGAATAGATGACAATGCCTCAAGGTGAAGCTCATTGGTTTTAAAAGTAATACCTAATACCTTTACGAGTACAGCCTATGCACATTCATATAGAAGTTCAATTATTGCCATCCTGTTCTATTTTCCACCAATCAGGTTAGAAGCTACTTAGTGGATCATTTTTCTTTACTCTGTCTCAGTAACAGGCAATATGTTTTAGTAATCTTCTTTCCTTCATGAATAGATTGTATTAATACATTTTATGTATCTTCTCAATTTGTCCTTTAATTTCAACCCACACCCATTGAAAAGATGATTGAGGATATGGCTCTATCTAGAATTCTGGCATCCCATCTCTGCCTTCTGGAGTAAGAGTCATTGTGTATCAGCTTCATTCTCTTTAAAATGGAGTTATGATGGATAGGAAATAGAATCATGTATTTAAAGCATCTAATACTTGGGAAACATTCATTCCTTCATTCATTTATTCTTCTACATTTAGTACTTAGTTGAGGATGATGTATTCTACATATTCAAATTTTTAAATTTCTTCCCCAAAGAGCGTACTAGAAAAGTATTTGTCTTGTTTTTGCAGTAAGTTCAACTCATAAAATAGGAAACCAGGGTAATTCATTTGTTTTTTTTTCTTAAAAATGCATGTTTTTCTCATGCTTTCCCTTGCATATACTTCAAAGCAACTTTATGCTATTCCATTATTGAGGGTGGGTTATGGAAGGGAAGTAAATTCCTCAGGAATGTATAGGAAAAGGAATAAAATCCTGAGGAACAAACCAGTTTAGTTAACTTATTACATAACATCCCTGGCATAATCCTTGTGTTCAGAGCTCTGAACTAGAAGCTTTTGGCTTATTTGCTTAAATTAAAGGAACTTTAAACTGCATCTACAGCGAGATATGGCAAAGGCTATTCTATTAATAACATCCTCTCAGCCTTATCATGGGTATCTCTATCATACCAAAGTCACCTGGTTATTACAGCTTACCAGTGGGATATTCCGTACAATCTGTGACATTATGTACTGTCTTCAAAATGTGTGCTTGTGGCTGGATTTCACCATTAATTCTTAAAATTTAATTTCTACATGGACTCATGTTTTCAAAGCTATCACATAAGTAGTTTAAACTACAGCATTCCCTAGCAACCCGCCTACACAACTGACTTATTAGATGTGTTCTATGAAATTGTATGGGAGGAGATTTCTTGAGAAGCCTTTTTTTTTTCCTCTATTTTGTTTTTAGTCACTGAGAACTGATATCTTTTCCCACTGATAAATGGCCTAATAATTAATGATTATCGGTGTGAATTTTGGACTAAGATATTTACAGATACTGTGGAAGTTTTATTCATCCATGCTTAAACAGACTATTTTAATAAGGGACACCCCCGTGTTTTACTAAGAAGTTTGTTTTTTTTGAATCTGGTTCTAATATTCTTCTAACTTATTGCTTAATCATTTGCATTTTTGAAATTAAGAATTCTTTTATGTGTCCTGATTATCAGGATTCTTTGTCAAAGAAAAGTGTGATAATATATTGACCAAAGTGGAATTCTATAGTTGTCATATTTATATTAAGTACTATTCATACGTTTTCATTAATCACCATGACAACCTTGCAAATGTATCTATTTTGTGGAACAAAAATGTGAATCAGAGAGTAGAACTTGCTCAACTCACACTACCAATCACAAGCAACATTGCAATTCTAACTCAGTAATCCTAATTTCAAAGCCCAGTCTTGACCTTTATCTTGTACCCCAATGCTGTGTATATATTGTACATACACAGTTTCTGGCACAGACTTAGTCTCAAAAATTATTTGTTGAAAGATTAATGAATAGTAAGTATTTGATAAATCAATATAGGTATACATCTATTACATTATTTCATTGTATGTTATATTTTTATATTTTCATAAAAACAAAGGCAAATTGCCAGACCTCATACATGCTCATCTTACTGGGGGAAGAGTTCTTCAGAGAAGATTCACAAAGTAATAGAAGCAGCAGATGTGGGCTTTGGTGTGGTCCATTGCACTTTGGCTAGGACAGATATCTGACTTGGGAGAGAGATCTCAGCTCTTAACGCTGTGTGATTTTTAAGTTGCATGATTAAGAAGCACTGATCCTCTCTCTGTCATGGTCAGGAGTCTGACCCTTATGGCTACAGCTATTCGGTCTATTAACTAATGGCATGACCTACCACTTCTGCTGCCTTAGTTTAGTTTAGCTTTTTTTTTTTTTTTTTTTTTGCGACGGAGTCTCGCTCTGTCCCCCATGCTGGAGTGCAGTGGTGCGATCTCGGCTTACTGCAAGCTCCGCCTCCCGGGTTCACGCCATTCTCCTGCCTCAGCCTCCCAAGTAGCTGGGACTACAGGTGCCTGCCACCACGCCCAGCTAATTTTTTGTATTTTTAGTAGAGCGGGGTCTCACTGTGTTAGCCAGGATGGTCTTGATCTCCTGACCTCGTGATCCGCCCGCCTTGGTCTCCCAAAGTGTTGGGATTACAAGAGTGAGCCACCGCGCCCGGCCTAGTTTAGTTTTAAGATGCATGATTAAGAAGCACTGATCCTCTCCCTGTCATGGTCAGGAGTCTGACCCTTATGGCTACAGCTATTTGGTGTATTAACTAATGGCGTGACCTACCACTTCTACCGCCTTAGTTTAGGGAGCACTAGGTCCTCTCCTAACTTAATCATGGACTAGAGTCCATCTGCGGTGCCACCCCCAATGAGATCCCATAGATAGGCAATCTATCTTGATGTGGCAGATAGGCGATCTATTCACCACTCCAGCATTCTGCCAACATTATTTGCCTTAAGGACTTGTATATTGTAAGTTTCATGAAAACTTGCAGAGAATGTTTGAATAAGTGTATGTACATTATTGTGTAATTATTTTATTTTACATGTGTTCATAAAAGTTGCTGTTGCTAACATATCTCCTGGATAGAATATGTTTAATGCTTCTTTTAGTTCATTTTACTTTTTTGTTTTCTTCTCTTTGGGGGAAAATATGTAAGATTTCAAAGAAAAAAGATGATTCATAAAGTAGAATAGCAATGATAATGATTATAATGATAAGACTGAATAAGTTTTGGAATTATCTTTACTTAATACTTCTTTTGCCAAGCAAGGCCTGATTTGCTAAGGATAATGGATAGAACAGTCACCTACCTGGTAGGATATAAGAGAATCAAGGAAACTTCTTTGTTCCTCAAACGTTCCCTTTTCTATTGACTACGTTTTGCAAAATCCTAAAGTAAAAGATTGCTCTGTTTAATTAAAGGCTTAAAATGACAGTTCTCCTGGGAGACCTTACAGTGAGCAACTGTCAATCCCTTTTGTGCAGAAGAATTTCTGAAAAGTTAATAAGAAAAGGAATTTAGAGGGGGCCACTGGCAAGGAAAGCCTCTATAAAGTTACTGCATAATAGAATAAGATGGTGAGGGCAGCCATTCAATGGAAAAATGTCATTGATGTCATTAAGGACACTTTGCCTCTTCAAAGATTTTTCTATTCGGAATGCTGCCCTAACCTATGACTTATTGAGTGGCAGTCGCTTATTCTATTTTTAACATTTACTCTACATATGTTCAACATCTGGATAATTATCAGAAAAATCAATCTGACATCCAATATATCTGGACATTTGGAAATAAATGGCTAACAGCTACTGTTTTTTTTAAACCTTTTTGCAGACTGGAAAAAAATCATAATGTCAAATGATATTCCAAGATCACCCTGAGCAATTTAAATTAATCTATTTCAGAAAAGAGTAAACATTGAAATGATAAAATGAATAGCTTTTTCTCTCAACTGAATATCATAGATGAAATTATGGAGCCACCTCACTCAGCTAAATTAGATATGATTTTAGTACTACTGTGTACCCCAGGGGAATATGAAGGCAGCATATGAATTGATTTATATTCTATTGTTTTCATTCAATGGAGTCAAGAAGTAAGTAAGCACTGTGATAAACATGTATATATTGTGCTGCACAACATTTAGCCTTTTCTTACTTGGTCTTAGGCTGCCTTCTCTCTCTCTCTTTTTTTTTTTTTAGTACAAGTGTGTTTATCATTTGCTTGGATGTAACAAAACTCATTCACAATTATCTAGTCAGTGCCCGGAGCAATCTTGGTGGATCCCATAAAATCCAAGGACAAGAAGGGCAGCCAGGCCCTGTGAGGGACTGAAATTGAGAGCACCCAAACAAGGCAATCAAGGCAACCCAGAAACCAACACAATCAAATTATCGCGATCTCTCCCTGCCTCTCTTGGTTCCACATGACTTTTAATCCTACTTTCCTCAGCACTTGACTCTTCTGCAGTTGAGCTTTCACTGCTTGCCTAACAACAAAGCTGATAGGTAACCATGGTTGTTCCAGTCCTATTTTACAAGTTATTTAGAGTCCAGCACTTGGAATCTGTTGGAATTTAAAATTCTTGAGAGAGTGAATCTGACTGGTCTAATCTAGGTCAGGGTTTCATGCATTTGTAATCTCATCCCCTCAACATGACGAGTCAATTTTTGAATTATCAAGGGATTTTCCAAGTTGCCTCATGTTCAGACCTGTCCAAATATTCTGAAGTAAAAAAATATTTGAATTGCTATGTGATTCATTGTGGTTATATTTAGTTGGGAGAAAAAGTTATTCATTATATCATTTCAATGTTTACTCTTTTCTGAAATATTTTCTTCCAAGCCAACAGTAACAATTCTGATAATGTTAGGACCATTGGTATCTGTCCATATTTACAGGTATATATTGCGATTTCCTCAAAATAAACAACCACTGCCTGGCTTTTAAAAGTTATGTTTAAGTGACTTATTTTAGTGCCCAGCATATGAAATCATGAGTAAAACCTCAAAATTAAATCTCAAATATGTTTTGTGGCACCAATTTGCTCCATTCTAATATTTCTACCAGATTCAGTCACGCCTCTTCAGTGTAAGAAAGGAATATTTAAAAAACAAACAAATTCCTATTTATAAGTTAAGATCGAGTCCAGTTATTACTGTGAAGCACATTCACTGTGCACTGGTTACCAAGCGGTCAGAGTCTGGTGAGACAGAACAGTCACATACAAGTTACTTGAAGTGGGTTTATTACTTAGAGATAGGCAGCAAAGATGACAGAAAACTAAGATTCAAAAGCCACTCCCCAAGGTTCAAGAAAGCTGTCTAGTGCAGATGGAGTCTGATCTGCACGTGCCCCACTTGCACCGCAGCCAAGGGACCCAGGAAAGCAGCCCACCCTGGGTTTTATGTCCTGGGCCGCAGGGCTCATTGAGCTATAAAGCCTGAAGGACATCCTGTTTCTAGTAGGGGAGACTGGAACGGAACCAGGGCTTGCCAATCCCTGTCTGTCTCATGATATTACATTCACAACACATTCTACAGATACTCCTGAGAACTATAAGTGAGAAAGGAGGGAGAACTGGGGCAGTCCAAGGCCACCTGGGGAACTGTCTTTTATCCCTCACAATTTCCCCTATGCAGCCCCCTTGCACAACTAAAAAGACCCTCCCCGCTGCTCTATAACATAAGAAACATGCCACAGCTGGCATTGTTTTTTGTAAATGTTTAATTTTCTTTCATGAATTAGGCAACCAGGTTTGATAGGGCAAAAATTTGCCCGGTTAAGTCTGTATTCTCAGAGCCTACTTAGCTCAGTGATGAGTATATGGTAGGCACACAGTAAAAGTCAACAATCAGTTAAAAATAGCTAAGCATAGCACGACAATTATAGTATTATGGTATTACAATTCTCCGTGGCTAAATGAAGGTTATCCTGTTCTTAGTTACAGATTTATCCAGAAATGACGGTTTATCTCAGACTTAGCCTTTGCTATACATGTTTCTTTTCACATACTTTGGAGGACTCCAAGGAAAGTGTAGTATTTATATAAAACAGTACGAAGAACACTCGTTTTATAAATGAGAACTGTGGCTGGGTAGGGTGGCTGACGTCTGTCATCCCTGCACTTTGAGAGGCTGAGGCGGGTGGATCGCTTGAGCTCAGGAGTTCGATACCAGCCTAGGCAACATGGTGAGACCCCCGTCACTACTAAAAAACAAAACAAAACAAAACAAAACAAAACAAAACAAAACAAAACACAAAAAAAGGCCAGGCATGGTGGTGCATGCCTGTGATCCCAGCTACTTGGGAGGCTGAGGTAGGAGGATCACATGAGCCCAGGAGGGCAGAGGTTGCCGTGAGCCAAGATTGTGCCACTGCACTCCAGCCTGGGTGACAAAGCCGGACACTGTCTCAAATAAATAAATAACTGTGTGAAACTTTGTGCAACAAGTGTGATATCGACATGTGGCATATAGATCAGTCTATTATCATCTTTAGAGTAAGGGGAAGAGTTAATTACTTGGTTTTAAATATATTAGCACAAAAATCACATAGTTTTTGACCCAAGCGCCTTATGAAAACCTGTGTTATATTTTTAGAAATCACCTTATACATTTCTTAAATTATAGTGACAGGACAAAATATTTTAATGGAGAGGGAGTATATAAAGAAAACAGGGCTGGGCGCAGTGGCTCACGCCTGTAGTCCCAGCACTTTGGGAGGCTGAGGTTGGAGGATCATGAGGTCAGGAGATCGAGACCATCCCAGCTAACATGGTGAAACCCAGTCTCTACTAAAAAATACAAAAAATTAGCCGGGCGTGGTGGCGGGTGCCTGTAGTCCCAGCTACTCGGGAGGCTGAGGCAGGAGAATGGCGTGAACCCAGGAGGTGGAGCTTGCAGTGAGCCGAGATCTCACCACTGTGCTCCAGCCTGGGCGACAGAGTGAGACTCCGTCAAAAAAAAAAAAAAGAAAGAAAAGAAAAGAAAACTGAAGTATAACAGTGTCACATTTTAAGTTACAAACTTGGTAATTAAATATATTGCAGCCTATTATAGTTTAACAACAATTTCTTTCTGCCTTTCTCAATATCTCTGTGCTAAATACCTGGACTTGAGACTTTGTCTCTGCTATACCTGAGACTGGCTAATTTATAAAGAAAAGAAATTTATTTGGGTCATGGTTCTGCAAGCTGTACAGGAAGCATGGTGCCAGCATCTGCTCCTGGTGAAGGCCTCAGGAAGCTTACAATCATGGTGCAAGGTGAAGGCGAGCCAGCCAGTCACATGACGAGAAGCAGCAAGAGAGAAAGGGAGGAGGTGCCAAGCTCTTTTAAACAACCATCTCTCCTGGGGTCTAACATAGAAAGAACTCACTCAGTACCACGTCGATGGTGCCAAGCCATTCATGAGAGATTCACCCTCATGATCCAACACCTCCCACTAGGCCCCACCTGCAACATTTGGAAATCACATCTCAACATGAAATTTAGAGGGAACACATATCCAAATCATATCACTCTCCATTCTCTTTTACTTCTGTCTCTGGGTGATGTTTGGGCACCATGAGAACATACATAATGTTATGTTGTCCTTATCTATTGGCTTCTGGGTACCTCCAGTTGAGATGTCATCAATCTTGCCTACTTTCAGGCCTTGGCTTCTGTCCTTGTTACGTCTTCTGTGTAGTGTATAAATGTCCTTTGTCTGTGCAAGAAAATCTCCTTCTGTTACCCAGGACACACACTTCCGTTATTGCCAGGATTCATGACACTGGGATATCAAAGTGTCTGACTTTGAGCTAGCTACCAAACACCCAATGAGTGTCATGTAAAAACTTTTGAATTTCTTTCACGTTTTCCCTGGCTGTGGAGCATGAGAGGTCACCATGTCAGGATCTGTTCTCTGCCAAATCACATCATGTCATCATTAATACTTTGTGGCAGCTACCTTATGTTGTCAAGCTGCTTCTCCAAGGGTTTTTGAAATTGTATAAACTTTAACATGAAAATAAGGAATAAACTCTCCTCCATTTATAAAGGTATTTCTAACAACCTCTCCTCGAATTTTGATTTCAAGGATGAAACACTACTTGCTACCTTTCAATTCCTCTTTCTCCAGGTCCTTTTCTCCTCCAGGACTGGAAGGCCCTTTGCATATGGAAGTATGCTGGTTGACCTTATGCCATGAACTGTTGTGTTCCCCCTAAAATTCATATGTTAAAGCCTTAACCCCCAGTTTAATGGTATTTGGAAATGGGGCTTTGAGAAGATGAATACGTTTATTTACAGTCACGAAAGTGGGGTGCTCAGGAGGAACTCAGTGCCCTTATAAGGAGAGACACCAGGAAGTTTTCTCTCTCTCACTCTCTCTTTGCCATGGGAGGACACAGTGAGAAGGAGGCCACCTGCAAGCGAGGATGAGGGCTCTCACAACCAGACCATGTTGGCACACTGATCTGACTCCAGACTCCAGAACTGTGAAAAAGAAAAATATCTGTTGTTTAAACCACCTCCTTTATGGTATTTTGTTATGGCAGTCTCAGCTGAGTAAGAAACATTATATTCTCTTTTCCTGCTATATGGCTTAATCTTAATTGACCAATGCAATTTACCAAGAAGGCAAAATATATTGGCGCTATTGAAAAAGCATCGTTGATGTTATGGACAAAAGAACACAAAGAAGACCGCAAATTCAGAGGTCAAATAATGAGAAATCAAGCACATTATTTTTCAAACTATTGCTTACACCCCACTATTGGACTGAGAAAACAGTTAAGCAGATCATAACCAGTCCTTTTCTTAATTATTTAGAATATAATAAAACAGAGTAGAAAATATTAGAGGTTGCTTGTGGCATTTTTTATTATTTAGTTGTGGATGAGAATGTTTGCTCCACATGGGTATACCAGTTAATAATATAAAATACTTTTCTTCCTGAGACATGAGCTATTAGAGTTACAACTGGCACACTCAAAGAGATGAAGATATATGTAAATCCCCTCATTCTAAATATCTGTTGCCCTCAATAAAGAAACTCTGGCAACAATGCCTTCTGAAAGATGATAACCTTGGAAATCAGTGTGGGATTCTGTGCTCCTAGTTTGTCCCCCTCTCCAGCATACACACTTTGGGTTTATTTGTGTTGAGTTTCAAAATTAATGGTGACACCTCCATAAGCACCTTTTTTTTTTTTTTTTGTTCTTTGATACTTTACAGATTTCCTTCAACTTTACCCGCACTCATTCTGATCTTGTTCTAACTCTTTTACTATCCATCAGACAAGTCCATTTAGCTTCTCTGAGTAAACATTTTCTTTATTTGGAAAATAAGGGAGTTGGCCTTGCTTTTATTTAAAGTCCATTCCAGCCCCCCAAATGCTCTAATTCTTTGCCTTTGCTTTTATATGAAAGGATTGTATCTAAGACAGTGTTTCTCAGCTGGGGATTTTATGACCAGCCACTCAGGATCTAATTTATTATCAGGGAAAATAAAACTTTAAAGTGTCTTTCCATAAAATCGTTTGTTTGTTGTCTTAGTCTGGGTAACCCAGGGACATTTTTCTGAATGAGTGGCTTATGCAAAGGCTCAGAAACTTCCAGTTGTTTAGCATAATGGGAGCATATTGTGTTGAATGTGGAGATATAAGATAAGATAAGAGATAGAAGAAGGAGTGGATCATGAGCAGGATTGTAATCTAAATTGAGATTTTTTTTTTTGAGATGGAGTTTCACTCTTGTTGCCCAGGCTAGAGTGCAATGGTACGGTCTCGGCTCACTACAACCTCCGCCTCCCAGGTTCAAGTGATTCTCCTGCCTCAGCCTCCCAAATAGCTGGTATTACAGGCATGCGCCACCATGCCTGGCTAATTTTGTATTTTTAGTAGAGACTAAATAATTTTGTATTTTTAGGGGTTTCACTGTGTTAGCCAGGATGGTCTCGATCTCTTGACCTCAAGTGATCCACCTGCCTCAGCCTCCCAAAGTGCTGGGATTACAGGCGTGAGCCACCACACCAGGCGTTAAATTGAGAATTTTGAACTTTATCCAGAGATCTATTTGTGTGGGTCATGGGCACATTTGTAGTAGAAGAGGATAAAAGGAATGCATTAAAAGGAAGAAAGAAAATCAGATTATTGTTTTAGAGACATTGCCAAAGTACAGAATAGATTAGTGGTAACAAATACCTGGATCTAGTTAGGAAGGCTTGAATGTTATCTAAGTGATGAATGTTATTTGTCTGCACTAGGGTTTAAATGGACAGTTAGAAAGAAGAGATGTAGAAACATTGGAGAGAGATTTTCTAGGTAGAATCAACAGAAATTGATATTGGGTGAGGTTTGGAGAATAAGGGGAAAGAAGAGGTGGGTAATGACTTTGGCATCTGGTTTGTGTAACTAGGTAACTAGAGATGAACTGGCCATCTTCTGACAGTATGTCAAGAAATGGTGGAATAGGAAGTAGGAAGAAAATTGAAAAGGTATTAGTGTGAAGAGCAGGAGAGAAATCTACCTGGACAGGGACTCTGGTATCACCCATGTGGGGCTCATTTTGATCAGCACATTATGAATTTGTACTCATTTCTGTAGCAGCATTCCACAGCCAGTAGAAGCTGAGAAGTTTATCAGCCTAGGATTGGGAAGAATACAAAATATAGACACAAGTTTGGATGGCTTTCTACAAATGCTGATCAGCCATTAAAATATTAGATAAATGTTTTAATCAGATTGATTTGGGTCTCGTTGCACCCACAGGATCAAAACCTAGAAGGGGGAGAATGGAAATAGGATTGGACAGAGAGAATTGTTGAAATGCCAAACAATGATAACAAATGGCTCAGCCAGTCTCAGTGGGAGATCTGGAGCTGAGATAGTCCTTTCGCTTTATCCCTTTGAGGCAAGGAGGCCTGGCTTATGTACCCACAGTGGATCTGAGCTGCGCCAGATGGGAAGTGTCACCTTGGATGAGCAGCTCTCTTCAGCTTAAGACCCTGGTTTCCAAAGTGAGCTTCCCAGAATAGTAGCATTGGCATCACCTTGGTGCTTGTTAGAAAGGCAGAATATTGGGCTCCACCCCAGATTTACTAAATCAGAAGTCTGGGGGTACAGCCATCTGAGCTTTAAGCTCACCCAATACACCTCAAATTTTGGAGCCTTGGCTTCAAGAAATTTTGAGGCAGACTCAGTTGAAAGTTGCCAGCAGTAATTCAGCAACTGGGAAATGAGACTCTCATTCCTGCAGGAGAAAAATGAGGGTCACACCATTGCCTCATCAATAGGTAAAGTCAGAAAGTCTAGGCAAGAGGCAATGCCTTCTATTTTGAGTTAGAAATATTGAGAGCAGTTTTAGTTGGAAGGACATAGAGGAAAAACTAAAGTATTTGAATATTTATTACGAAAATGTACTATGAAGCTTCTTTTACATTTATTGCATTTTCTTTATATCAACTATTCACCTTATATATAAAATTAAGTATTTTTAATATCAACAATTCCTGTGAAGCCAACTAGGATTACAACAAATACTTACAGATAAGGAGTTTTATGTCGTGATTAAGCAATAGAATATTTTATTAGTTCAAATAGTTAACTGTAACTCACGATATGTTTTTCCCCCTTTATTATGTACAAGCTGGTAATCATTTAAAAAGGAGCTCTTGAAAGTGAGTTAAGTTCCATTATATAGAAATATTAATCTGAAGCAAATATATCTTTCCTTGGCTATTTAGCATAAAAGTTAAATTTTTGTTATAATAAAATACCTAATAATTCATTAAAACACTCATAAGATTGTATAAAACCTTATTTTAAACCCACATTCAATCAATTCTTTTCCAAGGCCATTGGTTATATATACATTTTATTGCTGAGCTTCTGTATCTTAAATTCCTGTAACACCAACCTTGACTAGAGAAATATTCATTGCCAATGAACAATTTATTAAATGCACAGAACAATTTGGTAGTTCAGTTCATCGAAATCTAGATGCTGTAAGGTGGACATTTTTAAATTTTCTCACCGCTCAAGGCTGGTAGAAAATTGCAATTCATCTTGAAAGGGGATAAAATATTTACTTTTGCAAAAGCCAGTGAGGTTTCTACACCACTTGAAATAGAATAAATGCTTCCTGGAAAATAGAAACATATAAAAATACAACAGATTTAAAGACCCCTGGAGAAGGAGATTCAGATATTTGGTTTAGTTGCTACCAAAGGATAACTAGTAGCTCTTTAGAAAAAAAGTAAGATGTAAATCTCTCAATAAAGCCAATATAAAACAAGTTAAAATATGGAGAAAACACCACACGGGCAGAGAACATTACAATGCAGAAATATATGTTCCAATTTGCGTGTGTTATTTGCTTTCTAGTTTCTAAATGACCCAATATCGCAAGTGGGTTGCAAGCTCAGCACCCTGGAGCTGGGTAAGCCATTTGTTCCTTGTTGGTAATGTGTTCATGCTCTTTCTGGCTCCTTATTATTCACCATATTACTGTTATGGAGAAGGGCAATGACAGAAGACAGCAAACTGGACAGGGAGTTTGTGAGCTTGTGGCTTCCTAGAAAGAGAAGCTGAACTTAGCAGTCTCAATTGCTTTTGATTAGCAGTGGTACTTCTGAGATATCCTAAGGGCCCAAAGCAGTGGTTATGGCATTCTGTTGTGGGTGAAAGTATATATTAACAATTTCAATCTAGTTAATCCTTTTATACTAGATTAATGGGATTTTTTAAATTGAAAACTCTACTAAAATTATATTTTTGGTGTGTGTATCCTATTCATATTACCTAAATATATTAACTGTGAATAGGAATTTAAAAATATTTTATTAATTGACAAATAAAAACTGTATGTATTTATTGTGTACAACGTGATGTTTTGAAATATGTATACATTGTTGAATGGCTCACTCTAGTCATTAACATATGCATTACATCACAAATGTCATTTTTTTAATGGTGAGAATAGAAAAATACAATTTTCGAAATGCAATATGTTGTTATTAACTATAGTCACCATGTTTTACAGTGGATCTCTTGAACTTTTTCTTCCTATCTAACCAAAATTGTCCTCAGATCAAAATCTTCCAAGCCCCTACACCTCCACACCAGCCCCTGGTAACCACCATTCTATGAGTTTAACGTTTTGAAATTTCACACATAAGTGAAGAAATTCAGTAATTGTTTTTCTGTGCCTGGTTTATTTCACTTAATCCCCAGGATCATCCATGTTGCCAAAAATGACAAGATTTCCTTCTTTTTAAGATTGAAGAGTATTCCATTATATTTATATATCACATTTTCTTTATTCATTCATCCATTGATGGACACTTAGGTAGATTCCTTATCTTTGTGATTATAAATAATGTTGCAATAAACCTAGAAATGCAGGTATCTCTTCAACATGCTGATTTCATTTCTTTTGATATATACCCAGTAGTGGATTTGCTGGATCATACTATAGCTCTATTTTTAATTTCTTGAGGGACTTCCTTACTGTTTTCCATAATGACCGTACAAATGTACATTCCCACCAACAGTGTACAAGGGTCACCTTTACTCCAATCCTTGACAGCACTTGTTATCTTTCATCTTTTTTATAACAGCCATTCAAATAGTTGTGAAGTGATATCTCATTGTGGTTTTAATTTGCATTTCTCTGGTGCTAAGTAATGTCAAGAATTTTTAAATATATTTCTTGCCCATTATATTTCTTCTCTTGAGAAATATCTATCTTGGTCCTTTGCCCATTTTTAAATCACTTTATTTATTTTCTTTCTATTGAGTTGTTTGAGTTTCTTATATATTTTGGGTATTAATGCCTTATCAGGTGTATGGTGTGCAAATACTTTCTCCTGTTCCATAAGTTATCTTTTCACTCTGCTGATTGTTTCCTTTTCTGGGCAGAAACTATTTTTCATAATCTCATTTATCTATTTTTCTTTTTGTTGTTTGTGCTTTCGGAGTCATATAAAAAGTCATTTCTCAGACAAATAGAACTTTCCTCTATGTTTTCTTCCAGCAGTTTTATAGTTTCAGGTTCTCTGTTTAAGTCTTTAATCCACTTTCAGTTGATTTTTTATATGGTGTGAGAGAAGAAGTCTAGTTTTATTTTTCTGGAAGTGCATATCCAGTTTTCCCAGCGCCGTTTATTGAAGAGACTGTATATGTTTTGTGTGTGTTCTTGGCACCTTTGTTGAAAATCAACTGACCACAAATGCATGGATTTATTTCTGGGCAGAAATATTTTTAATGCATATATTTGATATTAAAAGCGGAGTGTAAGGTCATTTATTTACCTCTAAATTTATTCCCTTTCTCTTGGTACACTACTCTGATTTTAATGAACATCTCCTTCCTGCTCCCATGACAACCGTGTGCTACAGGAAACTGAACATGTTTGCTAGGAACAGTCATGGCACGTGGGCTCCCTAGCCATATTTGTTCCCAGATGGCCTGTTGTTTAGCTGGTTTGATCAGAGTGAATCTCAGAGCATGTAGTTGGAGACTGTGCTAGAAATGTCCTTCTTTGCTTTTGCTTCATGGCAATGCAGAAGTGTGATTTGGGGGAGCCACTGCCATTCATCTTGAATGAAGAGAGAGAAGCCTCCAAGAAATGAAGCAAACACCCAAGAAGAGAAGTTGAGAAATGCAAAAAGAATAAAGACACGTCCTGAGAATTTCTTTTGATCTGTGATTAAAGCACTACCTGAAATTCTTCTCAATCTCAAAAGCAATAAATTATCTATATTAATTAAGCTTGTTTGAGTTGTTTCTACTACTTGTAAAAAAAAGCATTCTGTTAAAAACAGTAATCTTGCATCTTTCAATCCCTAACTCAGATGTAAAACACAACAAAAAACAGAAATGAAACCAAAGTAGCAATATTTCTACACGGGTGTTAACTTTTTCTGACTTTCTGCCTAACTCATATATCGTGGGTGCATGCAATACCTAATTTTAATTGCTATGTTGCCTCAACATAGTTAAAGCCATATACACCCAATATCAGTGTGTAATTTGGAGAGTAATGATTTCCGTTTCTTAATTTGTTACCAGAAAACAGGAATACTGTAATCAAAGTATTATTTAGGTGTCAGAAGGGTTTCTCAACATTAACAAAAGACAGTCACCCATAAACAAAACATTCTATTTCACTCAAATATTTTGATTATGGTATAAAGAACACAAGAAAAAACAATGGGAAATCAGAGAAAAAACAAATTCTTTATTTTTCTGTTTCAAAGATTAACTGAAAGGATCTGTTGCCCTTTATAATTAGAAAGACTTGAAGTTAAAATTTCATAAGTATTAAAGGCATGTTTTCATGGATATATTGGTCTAAAAAACTTAGAGGAAATATGTGCTTTTATTGCAGGTCAAAACTCACTGGAGGAGTACCATCATTAAATAACCAAAAATGTCTGTTTTCTTTTTTTTTCACTTGACTGCATGTGTATGTTTATATAATAGTTGTAGACAGCTCATTCTAGTGTCCGTGTTTTTAAATTTTAAGGGACTACGATAAGGAGCCCACTAGGAATTTTACAATGAAGGAAATAATTGTCTGTCTTGGAAATAAATGATAAAATCAATATTAGATTATAGATCAGTAGACTTAGGGTAGGCCAAATGACTTCTGGTAGAAGTATTAACATATTTAAAGATAAAGGGTGCCGCACAGAAGGGGCATCAGTCAGCCATGGAACTAAAGTCAAAGGGGCCATGTATTTGAGGAAATGGTAATGATCATGAAATGGAGAGGGTACCCTTGTCATTGGACATCAAGTTATTTATGTCCCACTGGCAAGGCTAGATCTTGGATTTGGAGCCAGGAATTCTCAAGTTTTTCTAATCTGAATGAAAAGACCAACTCTATAGTGAGATGAAAACCTCGGATATCCTTGCCTGTTACCATTAAACATTTAATTTATCTACTTGTCATTATTTTGATTTCACGCTCATCAAGAAATCAGATTCCCAAGTCTGCCTCCCTTCTATTTCGTGGTTCTTGTCCCATAATATTTCACAGTAAATTAATAAAACAGGCTTTTATTATGATCACTGCATGACCACATAATTTGGCCACTGAGAGTCAATGTACCAACCTTTCTGACTCAAATATTTGTGGTTTGTGTGAAAGTGATATTTCTCAGTGCATACAAGTAAATCAACCCTTTGGTATATATCTCACATGTTATTGATTATTAAATGTGAATCAGTCCTTCAGGGGTTGATGCTACTCTGAGACATCAAAAAGAAAGAGTCTTTGGGGATATAAAAATGAAGACATATTTAAGAAGGCTTTCCTCTGTATAATACCACTTACCTTCTTATTTAAGTATGCATCAGAAAATTGTCAGTCATTGTGTATACTTTTTATACAAAATTTGGTCATTTGCTTAAAATCTTTCATAGCCTCCCATTGCCTTTAGGATATATTTTGGGCTGTTTAGAGTGATATACACATCCCTTTATGGTCTGACTTTCATATCTTCATCTCTTGACATCCTGCTGCATCTAATAAATGTTTTAGGCACATTTGCTATTCTCAGTCTCTAATCTAAACCATCTACACTTCAGGATTCAGCACAAACAATGTCTTGAGGGAGTCATTCCAAACCTTTCGCTTTTCCTCAGCTTAAATACAACCTTTTTTTGGAACTCTGCTTTTTGCTCTCATAATGCTATCTGCAATACTATGGTGTGTTGTAACTGTTGACTTGTTTATCTTACCCATAAGATTGCAAGTCTTTTTGAAGAAGCAACCCTGAATTTTATCTTGGTATCCCTAAGATGTAAAGATGGTGCTTATATATGAAACTGAAGGGGGTTTACTGAAAAAAAAATGAATGGAGTAGAATAAAATTTAGCTCCCAACCCAATTCACTTTCCTTGTAACCAATTAAACTCGATTGAAATAACCACCCAATTCTTTACTTCTTCCTGTACCCATACTCATTGCCATATACCTTTCATAGAGCCCTTCAACTCTGACTCTTGACCTCTACCATGTGGCTTGCATTAGGCAATAGAACGTTGGCAAACAAGATTCAAGCAAAAAATGGTGGTGAGGCATATGGAGCAGAACCACTCCGCAGAGGATGAATGAGCTCAGCCAAAGCCAGCCAAGCCTAGTATAGATCAGCCACGTCTCACTGATGCATGATAAATAAATGCTCATGCTCATTTTTTTCTTTTTTTCTTTTTTTTACCTATTGACCCATCCTCTAAGTTCCCTCCCCCTACCCCCCCACCCCCAACAAGCCCTGGTGTATGATGTTCCCCTCTCTGAGCCCATGTGTTCTCAATATTCACTCCCACTTATGAGCGAGAACATGCGGTGTTTGGTTTTCTGTTCCTGTGTTAGTTTGCTGAGGATGATGGCTTCCAGCTTCATCCACGTCCCTGCAAAGGACATGATCTCATTCCTTTTTATGGCTGCATAGTGTTCCATGGTGTATATGTACAACATTTTCTTTATCTAGTCTATCATTGATGGGCATTTAGGTTAGTTCAATGTCTTTGCTATTGTAAATAGTGCTGCAATAAACATACATGTGCATGTGTCTTTATAGTAGAATGACTTATATTCCTTTGGGTATATACCCAGTAAGGGGATTGCTGGGTCAAATAGTATTTCTGGTTCTAGATCCTTGAGGAATTGCCATATTGTCTTCCACAGTGGTTGAACTAGTTTACACTCCCACCAACATCATAAAAGCGTTCCTATTTCTCCACAGCCTCATCAGCATCTATTGTTTCCTGACTTTTTAATAACTGCCATTCTGACTGGCATGAGATGGTATCTCATTGTGGTTTTGATTTGTAGTTCTCCGATGATCAGTGATGTTAAGAACCAATGCTAATTTTTACATGCCACTGAAGTTTTGGGTAGTCTATTAAGCAGCATTATTGCCACAATATAGCTGGTAGCACCCATGGTCACTGGTAAACTTAGTTCAGCAATACCTCTATTAAAGCAAAGCAGTTATACTGCTTTGCTATTTTATACTGCCTATGTTGACCACAGGCAGTATAAAATAATGGTTCAGGTAGCATGCTCCAAAGCTAGACTGCTTGGCTTTTAACCCCATCTTTTCCATTTACTAACAGTTTGATCTTGATCAAAATACTAACCTACAATTTGGCTCAGTTTTCTTACCTATTAATGTGGAAAATAGCCTATACCTCATAAGTTTTGTTATGGTTATTAAATGTGTGAATACATGTAGAATACTTTGAACCATGCCTGGCATGGAATAAAGGCTTAAGAATTTTTACTTACTGTTTTTATGTGCAAATAGGATCTTGTTTAATAAACTTACCCATTACTCTGTCCCTTGGTGAATGTTCTGCTATGTTTATCTATACCATAATGTATGGTTCTATATATCTATGAAGGATTGTTAAAATATTAATGTTTTATCATTTTTGTTCAATATTAGGGTTCTTTTAAAGTCAGAACTAGGCAGAATCCTAAATCGTTCAGCACATTATAAAAGTAATGATGACAGAAATTTTCAGAGATAGACACACATGATATCCTCTACCAAAATATGAAAACTTAGGAGCTGAGAAGGTGAAGCCTATTCATGGCAAAGCAAATGTCCTCACTCCGAAATTGCCTTGCCCAAGTTCACTTCCTCTCAAAGTTATCCAGAGAGCAATTCCTTACAGGTAGATCAGTCCTGACAGACCCTCAAGGGTTAAGGAACCTTAGACTAACCTTAGAACCTACTGCATTTTTGTGATTTCTGGCTTTTACATGCGTTCACTTACATCTTTTGGGTTGCCATTAATTGGTACTGTGCAGTCTCTTATAAATCAAGTTATGGAAAGAGCAAGCATTCTGCCCCTTCACCATGAGGGCCTTTGGAGAAGGAATATTTTTGTAGTAATAATTTATCAATCTCCTTAAAGTCTTCTACCATTATGCATGAGGCTCTCTATGATACAGAATACTCAAGAAGTTGCAAAGCATGATAATATTCAACTTTGACGGAATTTGACAAGGCAGGCAAAGTAAAACACAGTGAAGCCCTTGGACTTTACCACATCCTTGCCAAGGATTCCTAAATAAGAAAATCATTTCATAGACATCTGGAAGAATTCTTCCCATAAAGCATCGGCGATGTGCCTCAGGATGTAGGAAGACCATCATCACCATCTGTAAAGAAGAGTCAAAATGCTGACTGCAGCAGTCATCAGGAGTTCTCATCTCTCTTCAGCACTGGCACAATCCCTGAATGAGCTGCTTTCAGTCAGTAACTGAGCACTGCTAAATTACTGTTCCAGAGTCATTTGTTGTTTTTCCCTGCTGTAAAAACACTATCCGCTTGATAGGAGAGAAATGCAAGGAATAATATGAATAGTCTGTATAGATCTCTCAGAACTCTGCATTGACATATTTCCAGTTATTAGCAAGCCAGAATTGTGGTGCTACTAAATAGATATGGATGTGAGTATAATTCATTATGAGTCAAAGCTAGTACATGAGGACATGGCCTTGTAGATGACAACTCAGGAGTTGTGTTAGAGCCATTCTCCTTTACTAATGGTGTGGAAGTATGCATAACTTGCAGATTTGGCTTCAGAAACATCTTTTTCTGAAAGCCTGTTTAGGGAGATGAAAAATGATGTTATTAGATTATAAATTTAGCCTCTGGGGAAAGCCCTTTCAGCTAAAAAAATTATGGATATCTTTAAAGCTCTCGGGAACCATTTTCATACATGATAACTCAGTGGGAGTATGGAGCCAGCCATACACACCAGAGACATATAGGAGAGAGACTTCATGTGGAAGAAGACTGAAATAACAGTCCCACCTTACACCATGATGACCACTCACAATACTAAAGATATTATTTTGAGATGCAGAAATGAAAGCTGTCTGTACATGGGACATTCTGCTGCCTTGTAAGCTTTCTGACAAATAATTATTGATGGCAATAGGTGAGAAAAGAGGCCCTGGCTGTGCTTGGGGGTACAAAAATAGCTTGGAAATCCATTGGGGTTATTAAGCATTATTCCCCTTTCCAAGACTGCCCTTCAACGTGGTGAAAAATGAATCAATTGAACAGGTCATGGATGCCAACTTTTCACTCTGGGTACATTTGGGGAAGAATTCCTGGGTGGGACTAGTTCATTAATCTCCTTTAAGCCTTCTACCATTACTCACAAGGCTCCATTTTTCCCCCAGAAACTTCAGGGCTCTATTTACATCAAAGGGACATCAAGTACCACAACGCTCACTAAAAATGAAACCCTACAGCTCAGACTGTCAACTTGTGTGGAGAATGTAGAGCTGTAAGTGAGCTTCACAAGGCAAGTCACGCACGAGGGAGGGAAGACAGCAAGATGCTGAAATAGCTTATGGATAGTATGAGAGAGGGGGCAGACTGGGAACGGCAGGCAACAAAACCTAAAAAAACTCACAAAAGAGAAAACTTTGGCTTAGCTCTCTAGAAGCAGACAGACAGAAAAAGAATAACAGAGAGGCTACGATGGGTTTGCAAAGGGCAGGGCCAGACCCAGAGATAAGACCTGCCCAGGAAGCCTGTAGCAGTGAACGCAAGGTTATATCCATCTGAACCCAGGGTTTAGAAGGACCCAGGGTTATTATGTATCAAACATGACAGCTGTATTTGATATTTTCACTGTCATCTGTGTATTGTTGAATATAAAGGGCACGAAACTAAAGAGTGGCAGAGACATCTTAAATATTAAGGTTATACAAATGACATTCTCAGCATGAGATTGCAACCATCAACATTTCAGAAAAGGTTGTTCAAATGCTCTATGTATCTGTTATTTTTATGTATGCTAACCCTTACATGTAGGCCATGAAAAAAATGAGAAAATATCCTTAAGCTGAAGTCAGCATCTTCTCATCCCTGTTTCTGTATTAGCTTGTTGGCCTCTGTTTCCCACATATCTGAGAGACTGAACACTTAGAAACAGTGCATATATGAAGAGTATGATGGCATGTTTATAAGCTGCATATACATGTACCCCGATTTTCTAAAATATGACCCCTTCTATACCCTGCAGGAAGTCTTGATTCTTAAAAGACCATACAGTGCTTAATCTCTATGCATGTGAAACAAGAAAGGATCTCCTTCTTATTTTATTCAGAAGCCATCTTTAATGGCAAGGATGAATCTGGATATGGGGAAAATTGACATTTACTTAGAATTATTATTCAATCAAAGTTCTATTTTCTTCTTATGATGATTTCATTTTTCAGAGCAGTTTTAATGCAAAGCTTGTGATCAGGATTTTTTTCTTAAACAATTGGTGCTACCATCTGTGTCACCTGAGGTGTCTTTTTGTGGATTATTATGCATCGTAGCCTCATGTTATGTGACACGATGAAATCGTAAATAATTCCAGTCCTGCTTTGCTGGAAGAGAACACTCCAAACAGTTATGTGGTGCCAGAGTGCTGATTCCAGAGCGGGCAGGGCAAGTAATATTCTTCCTACAAAGACATGCCACTTTTTTTTTTCATCCTCTCTTTAAAATTCTTGTTTAATTTGATTAGAGAGCCACATCAGAGGCATTTTCTAGGGCATGGGACCTGTGTGTTTGGGAACTTCCCACTGTGCTGATGAAGCACCATTCACCTAGGCTGAGCTGTCGGAGTTCAGAACAACCCTAGGGCATTTTTGTTTTCTGTTTTATATCTCATTTGTTCTTTTTCTTTGTTCTCTTCCATTCAGAGGAAGGTGTGTGCTAATGCCAATTTGTTAGCAGCATACCCAGCAGGTGAAGGATGTGAGCTGTTTGGGTTCTTTAAAATAGTTCTGGCTTATTTGCCCAGTGCTTTAAATAACAATTAGAAGGTGGACTTTCCATAGGCACCAGGAGCTCACTCCCCAAGTAGTTTAGGTTAGAAATTGTGTTGCTGGGTAAAAATCTATACACTTTGATGGTTTAACCCAAACTCGTAATTAGCTCTTAGCTTCCCTCCCCCATGGCCAGTAGAAATAGTTTTTGGCTATTATTTCTGTAACAAAGCTGTCCTCAAGGAAATCAGACACATTGGAGAGTGACTCTGAAATGTCATGTTTGGAGATGGCTGGATTCCATCATGAGTTGCATTTTCTGCTCTCTTACATTAGCAAGAACTCTATGGACCATGCCTCCTGAAATATCCTGGAAACAAAAGGGAGTGCTCACCTAAGTTAACGTTTAAGTATTATTTTTTAAACTTAGTTTTTAGAATGTATCTTCAGCAGGGGAGTGATAATAAATTAGCATACTTGTAAAAACTTCCAAGAGCTAGGGTTTTGGATCAAAACTCATATTTAGCTTACTGACCAATATACTTTCTAGATTAGCTGCTTTTGATTGATTAATTTTGTTTTGCTGTCTTACTAGAGCACAAAGACAGTCTTCTGAGACAGAAAATGTTTAGTGGTGATAGGAAGTGGACCCCTCTAATGGCCTCTTATGCCAGAAAAATCATCCTGTCTTGTTCATTCTCCTCCTTCAAACATTTTCTCTTTCATATCCATAAAAGATCCAGACCAGATTTTAAGTAGCAGGGCTTAAGAGAAAGCACAAATGGACACCAGGGATTTTGATTTTCTACATACTTGTTACTCAGAAAGGTTGATTAACTTGTGTTACTCAATTAACCACAGATGTGCCCTTGTGCACCATTAGTTTGTAATTACCCTAATTGATTCCGAGGAGTGATCTTTGCTCAGAGTCAAGCCAGATGTAGGCTTTGTTAGTGATTTTGATGGAATGACCCCAAAAAGCTCCATTTTTACAGCTTTGATATGAGAAAGTCCAAGAAGCTTGCCCAGGCCTCTCTGCTTACTTAATTATATTTTTGATAATTTATTTTACCAATTGACTTCTAGCCAGGCCAGGTTATGTTTGATCTTGATGAGGTTGCACAGACTTGCAGGAGAGGAGAAAATGTCCCAGCTCATTATCTTCTATTCTTGCTTTATCAAACCTGTTTTCTGGAAACTATATGCAAATTAAGGTCTTCAGACATTCTCTTTGAAAACCATTCCTTCCTTTCTGTCCCCTTTTCTGAATCATCCATTAGCATACAGCGGATTTTCTGTTTCCTGTCTTCTAATCACTGATGTTGGAGATTTCAGGCATTACTCACTTTCCTGAGCATTGTCCTTCCAAGTCTATCCAAACTCCCCTACTATTTTGGTAAAGTGAGGCTTTAAATAGAATGTTAGGTTAAGACAAAGCTTCAGTTAGATGTACCAATAAGATTAACTGAGAATTCTCAATTAGCACTCAATTAGCACCCAGGTAACTTTTGTATTTTTAGTAGAGACGGAGTTTCGCTATGTTGGTTAAGCTGGTCCTGAACTCCTGACCTCTGGTGATCCACCCACCTCAGCCTCCCGAAGTGCTGGGATTACAGGCATGAGCCACCACACCCGGCCTCCTGGAAATATTTTAAAAATTAGTTTCAGCATCTACAACCTCCTCTCCCCTGCTCCTGGAAGATAATTTTAGAAGGCAGAGAGTAAGCAAAAATATAGTCAGTTTTTTGTCATGGGACAGAATGAGGAATGAAGGTAGAAATTAAACTAAGTGATGGAAAAAGAAAGTTCCTTTTTTTTTTTAAAAAAAATTTTATACCTGAGTTGGTGGTCTGTGAGATTCAGATCTACTACAGTAGTTTGTACTATATTCTGTTACAATTGTCCTTATAAACTTTTGTTACAGGAGTGTATCTTCTATCAGTATACATAGGCATCTACTCTCAGAGTGTAGATAACTCTGGGAATTAGAAAATAAAAATCCTTCCCCACTCCAGTGCTTTTCCAGATGAAGATCTTGCAGAGAAAAAAAATGTCGGATTTCATAAAGTATTCCTAACATGTGCTGGCTACTGATGGGCAAAGATAAATACTCTGTATATGTCTTTTTTGGAGGGGAGGATGTTGATTGAGAGTGATAGGGGATGAACACGGTTCTGAAGCCAAATGTTATGTATTACATAATTTTACCTAGAGTTTCAGACTTTTCAGAATTTTCTTCAGTCAGTTTAGCAGGCAATTCATAGTTCATGGACAGGTCAGTAAATATTTTACGTAAACTTTTAAATATTTATTTAAAAAAATTTTCCATCTCACCCCTTGCTATGGTGGATTTTGTGAATGTTGTCACTAGAGTAAAATGTGTGAGTGCACAGATATGTAAAGGTTGAAAAAATATAGTAGTGGAACTTTATGAGCTGAGCATGGTGGCACTTGCCTGTTTTCCAAGCTACTAGGCAGGCTGAGGTGGAAGGATCACTTGAGGCCAGGTGCTCAAGGCTACAGTGTGTTATCATCACACCTGTGAATAATCATTGCACTCCAGCCTGGGCACCATAGTGAGATCCCATGTCTAAAATAAAACAAACAAATGAGTGGAGCAATCCTGTCCTTTAATCTGCTCACTTGCATTATTTAGGATGCTTTCAGTTACAAGTTAAAGACAACTAAACTCAAACTATCTTAAACACATAATGGGAATATAAGCGTTACCTTTGTCAGGATTGACATTAGGTTTAATCTAGTGACTCAACCTGGTCACCAAGGACCCAGTTGGGTTCATTTCTTTACTGCATTTCTAAGATATTAGCCCTTACTCTGCCATTGTTTCCCCAATGGTCACATAAAAGCTGCCTGTAGATCTCAAGGCCAAATGGTTACAACAGGAGAAAATGAATCTTGGTCCCAGAATTCCCAGCAAAGTTCCTGATGGCCCCTTTAATTGGTCCAGAGCAACTTTCTGAATTTGCATTAATTGGTCTAGTTTAGGTTTTGTGTCTGTCTCTGTAGCAATTTCTATCAGCAGGAAATTCAGTACATAAATGGGCTTAATGGAGGTTGTATCCTCTATACCTGAACAATTCCAGCCCAGGATTCACCTTCACCTGCAAAACATGGCCAAAGAATAGGGTTGGATGATCCCCTCAAATCATGATTGTTTGCTCTTGCCTCAAGAAGGGGAAGTAGTTGCTGGAAAAAAAAAAAAAAAGCAATCAATCATTGATTTTACCATTTTAAGAAACACTGGTTTAGAAACTATATATGTATATTAGATAAATAAATTTAGAGTAAATTAAAATGTATGTAATATGTATGTATGTGCATCTATCAATAATGTATGCTGTGTGCACTTCTATATTAAAACAAAGGTGATATAGAACTTGAAAAGGTGGCTTTTTGTCTAAAGAAAAATAAAGCTGAAGAAATATTTTTGTAAATTAGAAGGAATTCAGCCTTTGGAACGAATCATGGAGACCTAGTGCCATACAATCTTAAAATTGAACACTAAAAAACTAGAAAACTCCAGTTTTTAAAACTTCCTTTCTTACACAGAGCTTAAATCCTCTTTCCTTTAAATTTCACCAAACCATTTTCCCTGATGTTGCCATTTGAAACTGCTAATAATAAGAAATACTTTTTTTTTAATGTGACAGTCCCTCCAACATTTGGAGTTAGTTAGAGATAATAACCACAGTAACACTGTCTTATATTTGGGTAGTATTTTACAGTTTTTAAAGTCTTGTTACATTCATATTTTATTTCTAAAAAAAACTTATGTGAAATTCGATAATCTGATTAGGAATTTTCTTGGTAGAACGTGATAGATACCAACTTATAAGATGAAGGAAAGGAAGAGTGCTGCCTAGGAAAGGTTGGAAAACCAAGTAACAGGTATTGCAGATGGGCTCACAAAGACTTGAATATCAGAACATGACTCACTATTTCTTAACTGTATCTCTCTATCAGCATCTTTCTTATTGCGGGTGTCCTTTCTTTGTTTGGTAATAACTATCATCAAGAGCAGCTTCTTAGATGTCATCTTCCAGCTTTGACTATTGAAGACCCTCTGCCCTCTCTGGTTCACGAATTTCAGTGAAGGGCCTGATATACGAATCAGGATCATGTTTCTTTACCCGCAACAACCAAGTGTAGTTGGAGTGTTGCAGATCTTATATGGTTGGTGGATAGTTTCTAGGAAAGTCTGCCGGGGAGACAGCACACAATTATCTATTATATCAATCCAATTTTAGGGATGAGGAAGCTGAGACTTAGAGATATGAGGCAATGTATCCAAGACAGTGTCTTGGAATTGATAGGTCAAGAAGTTTGGTTCAGGTCTCTGGCCCGTGTCTCCTTTTTACTTTTCCCAGAGGTATTTCTTTTTCTAGCCAGTTTTTACCTAAGTATGCTTAATATAATCTTTCAATTATACTTTTCTGCAAAGATTAAATTTATGAATATTTTGGTACCTGGAGTTTAGCACATTACAGAGCAAGGAAACCGAGGAAAAAAAGTCAAAATGTTATTAATGTATACTTCACTTAAGTCACATTAATTATTCTGAACATCTCTGCTGTAATCTAAAACTTCTCTGTATTTTTCACTTGAAGAGCTGTTAGGTGGGACTCTAATCTTATGTTGCAAAAGATAAATCTCTTTGATATTTTATGTTTTAAGTTTTAATCTACTTTTTCTTTAAGTTTATCAAGATGTCCAAAAACTTTATTCTGTCAATCACTGTATGCCCATAACATTTTGAACACAATCATCTCTGTATGTGATCTGTGGAAATGTGTGCTGCTTCTATGTATGTGATTCCATCCAGACATCAATATATTAAGGTTTCCTCTACACATCTATTGATATGGTTTGGCTCTGTCCCCACTCAAATCTCATCTTGAATTGTAGTTCCCATAATCCCCAGGTGTTGAGGGAGGGACCAGGTGGAGACAATTGAATCATATGGGTGGTTAACCCCATGGTGATGTTCTTGTGATAGTGAGTTCTCATGAGATCTGATGGTTTTATACAGGGCTTCTCCCCTTTTGCTCAGCACTTCTTCTCGCCATCATGTGAAGAGGGACATATTTTCTTCCTCTTCCATGATTTTAAGTTTCCTGAGGCTTCCCAGCCATGTGGAACTGTGAGTCAATTAAACCTCTTTCCTTTATAAATTACCCAGTCTCAGGCAGTTCTTTATAGCAGTGTGAGAGTGGACTAATACATCTATATTAATTGTTTAAAGACAATTCGTTTTTTTCTTTTCTTCTATTTGTGAATTCTGCCCTTTGCAACCATGAAGAATGAGATTTCATTGAAAAGCATGAGTCAGATAGTAGGGTTTGATTCTGTATTTGTCAAGCCTACTTTGGTTCCTAATAAAATCATATACAAGCTAGTTTTGGGGAAATAGAAAATTATTAGCTCACGTAAACGTAAAGACAAAATGCAGGACTGGCTTCAGGCATGAGTGGATCCATGCGCTCAAGTGATATCCTCATGACACTGCCTCTCTCTTCACCTGTTTCACGTCTCGTGAATTGACTTTGTTCTCAGGCAGGTTTTCTCTATGTTGCAGGGCTTAAGGAACTCCTAGTAAAAACCATCGGCAGTTGTTACCATCCAAAATTAAAAGAAATTTTGTGAGCATCTAAGAAGCATTTGCAAAGTAACACTCAAGGTTTTGCATTGAAAAAGAGGAAGTCTAATGTCTGAAAAGAATGTGACTCTGAGTTATAAGGAGTTTTGAAAGAGCATCCAGCTTATGAATTAGAAAGCCGAACTCAAGCCACTTTCCTTTTATATTTCATTGTAGTTTAACCTGCACTATTTGATCAATCTTTGTATATTTCTTAGATGAAAAATGCACATATTTTCCAAAAGAACTGATTTATATTTATAATTGTAAATTAAAGAAAATCTCATCTCTCTTTATTTGGGTTCTCCTTACATTTCTATGGCACAACGTTGTTGTTTTTGCATGGAAGTCTCTTAAGTTAAAGGTGCTATTTTATTTATTGCCCATTAATAATTAAAGTGCTTGGATTTTATAAGAAGGTATATATCTCACATCTGTCATATTTTTAAAAGATGTGTTCACTGTCAGTATTTGTATAACTAAGAATTAGAAACCTAGCAACTTAATTTAGCTCTAAAATGATTTTCCTTCAAAACACAACTAAAAAAGAACAAAGAGCATTAGTTAAGATTCTATTGGTTTTAAGTGTTCAAAATAGAACTTGTCCAAGCTTAAGTAAATTGGTAACTTAATAAGTGGCTGCTAGGCTCTCTCACAGTTGGGAAGGTAAGAAGGCTCAGCCTCAGAAATAACTGAAATCAGGAGCCAAATTCCCAAGAAACTCCATCCACCTGCTTTAATATTTCTCTTTGTCTTTCATTCACTTTCCTCAACTTCTCCAACCCCCACAGGAGGAAAATATGGTTGCCACTAACTCATAAAATGTATATATATTACAGCTTCAGTCGCTGGAGAGAGGCCTCAGCCACTGGAGACATACTTGTTCTCCTTTTTCACAGTTTTATAAATCTTTAGAAAAGACTCTTATTGGTCCATATTGGGTCAGCGACCCAGCCTGGTCACAAAGGCTGGAATTTGAAAAGAACATTGTCCAGCTTTTGTCAAATGCTTATGCCAATTGGGTCAGATACCCAGTTGTAGTCCGTAGCCAGTATTATATCACGATAAAATATTGTCCCCATAGTTATCATGTATATGGGGGAGGAATCATCTTTCAGAATAGAGGGTTCTGCAATATTAGGTATGCTAGGAGTTTCTCACAGCAGTGTTAACTTTAGGAGATCGTTCAAGTCCTCATTACAACTTTAACATATGTACCCAGCTATGACTGGATTTTATTCTTCAACATCATTGCTAATAATGTTACACACAAAGTGAGCTTGTCCATTTTGATGCCACTTGCACTTATTTTAATTATCATCTCCTACTAATTTTATTTCAGTTCATCCATGATAACCCTTGAATATAATTAGCATTGAAAATAAATATAACTAACTTTGATTAAAGGAATAGCAGTGATTATAGAATTAAACAGATATGTGTGATGTATTATAAAAACATGTATTCTTTGGAAATTGGCCATGTAAGATATTTGTTTTGTAAAGGACATGTTTGAGGTGGAGAAGATTCTAATGACAGACTCACGCACCTATCTTCTACTTTATATTTCTCAAAGGACTCTTATTATTATCCTTCGAGATCTGCAAAATTCCTATAACAAAAGCTGTAACTAATCTTTATCATTATAAAGGAATAGTTCGTTTTAGAAGCTAGCTGAAATCATTAATTAGGCAAAACTTTTCCAGAACATCCAGCATACCAAAGAGACACTGCTAGAAGTCACTGGAACACCATCTTTTTACAATTAGGTAATCACAAAGAAAAAGATTAAATTTTAGAAAAAAATGTAATTCACTTTTTAATGCTTTGTTCCTTAAAAGCACATATATATCTGAGTAGCTTATTAAACTGAAAATCATTTCAATAGGTGGATTACACAGAATTGCTAAGAAACTGAATTTAGGCCAGTCATAAAAATTTACTAAAGCTTGCCATCTAGAGGTCTATAGGGGTATACTTTGGAAAGTACTTTTAGAAACATTTTCTATAACCTAATGTCCTGATATGTATAAGTTTAATGTATTAAATGAAGATTAAGATAAAAAGAGAACATTTCACTTATTACTGAATCTACACTTGACATTGCAAATTTTGGACCTTTAATCTTAAAAGAACGCAAGGTTGCTTCTACTTTTTTCTTACATAATCATTCTGGTAGCTCTAAGAAATCTTTTAGGCAATCCAGTTTACATTTTTTTCTTACTATTTGAGAAAAAGAACAATACATTAGAAGTTGATAATGTGTATAGTGTGCATATGATGATAAATATTTTCTTCACTATCAAGACTGATTGTTTTAGGGTTCTTGGTGAGTATTGCTGTTTGATGGATGAAAAAATAAAGTTATTCATATTAAATAATTATAACAGTATGGAAGGAAAAATTCCCTGATAATAAAAGTGAAGGGCATCAATCTAAAGCTGAGATTTAAGGGCTTGTATTACATCCTTAGATAGATATGTAATATACATGCATGTGTATGTTTATGTAAACAATGTGATCTTGTGATGTTTTTGGTACTTTAAGAAGTAGTTGTAATGCGTAGATCATTGCTATAATAGATTACACAGTGGAAGCATTTATCAAGACTGCAATTGTGTTATTATGAATGTTTTACAGTTGTCAGCTCATCAAGGCTAAAATAGCCTTGTTTAATGTGCTTTAAAATGTAGGTTATGGGGCCACAATAGAATTTACTTCAAATGAAAACTTCCCAATCAACTGAGTTGAAGGTTTTGAACTTTTAATTCTCACTACATCACAGGGTGATTGTTTTGGCAGCAAGACAGACAAGATGTGCGGTTGCTGCCATTATTCATGCTTTGTCAAGAGGAGGTGGTGAGCATTCCATGTGATCTGGGCAAACATGTTATGTCTTAACAGGAGTGGAAAACACTGAAAAAGTGCTTTTTAATTTTTAAAAACTACATCTATGCCATACCAGTATTAGATTATTTCACTTCTTCCATTTTAAGAGACCCTCTTTTAAGATGTACCTTTGAATTAAAATCAATGTTTGGGGGAGGATATCACCTGATTAAATGTACACATTTACATGTGATTTCAGGATGTTAAGATGTGTTCTGGTGTCAGAATCCCTAAATGGGAGGAAAGAGTGTTTCTTACAAATGAGAAATTCCTATAAAATTATCTCATAGCGATAACATGTACCTTTGTCGTTAAGCATCTTATGTAATGGTATAATGTACTTGGTGTCCTTACACTGACCTCTAGGAAAAGAATGTCTAAATATTACAATATAATTTTAGCATTTGTTTTTGAAAATAGCGTAGTTCCTGGGAAATGCAGTGCACTGTGTTGATAAAATACCCAAGGCAATTTACTGACAAACGTTGTGCCAGCAGCAGTGAGGTTCCTCCTCTTCATTCCAGGGACCTCTTATATCTGGAATCGACTTAAAAACAGTAATAAGGTTGAGAAGATAGCTCAATCTCTGTGCTCATCAGTGTTTGGGGACTACGTGAACCATGGCTACCCGAGGCTGTGTGTTCATTATACACTATTCACAGCCGCTAATGATAGCAACCATTTTATATTAACAGTACCAAGATCTTATGATGAGGAGAGCTGGTTGTGAGCGTTGCCTGAAGAAAAGACACTTCTTGAACTTAAAGCAACTCCTCTACAGTCAAAACATGCAGTTTATCATAGGAAGAGTTTCTATTTACTGGTAGGTGTTGATAAGCATCATAACGCAGTGTGCGGTTTTTCTGACTACAGGCGTGCATCTTACCACTGTGATTGTAATTATCTGTGTGTTCTTTTGTACATGTATATGTGTGCATATATATGTGTGTTTGCTGGGTGGGATGCTCTGCTGCTTTGTCTTCAAAGGTAGCATTTTATATATTTCAACAGTCTTGTAAGTTCAAATTGTTGCCTCTGCAAGCGAAGGGAATTTGTTGTCTTTTGAAAATGGAATCCACAAATTTAATATGTTTAGCTGCTCATAAGTCTCATACATTTAGGTGCTTAAAAAATGTTCTTAGCCTAGCATAGCGGTTAATTGCATGGCTTTGGAGTTGGATCATTGAGGTTCACATTCCAGCTCCCCCACCCACCTAGCTCTATAACTTTCGGCAAGTTACTTTAAACCTTTCTGTGATGCGATGATCTGTGATGCAAATAGGGATAATAACTGTATATACCCTTCAGGATTATTGTGAGGAAAGGATGACTGAAACCTAGTAAGAGGCCAATAAGTGTTCACTGTTAGAATGATATTTATTCACCAGTCAATAGCCTTGAAACCTACCATTGTAGTTTATTTCCTCATGTCAACAAAAATCTCTATTACTCTCTCTGACAAGAGACTCTTAAGTAAAAATCAACCCCTGCATTTTACAAGATCTTGAGGCCTTTAAGTGTAAGAGGCAAGCAGAGTTTCAAATGACAGCATTCTACAGTAATTGTTGAAATGTGTTATTTTCTAAAGATCTAAATATACACTCGTAAGAAGGATAATATTGAAGAAGAATAAAAGCAAGGCGGTGTTAGAATAACCGTTGTTAGCATTGTACCAGAGTTAGGATTACAGGTCCATCTCTTGGTCACTATCTTTCAGTTTTATTCCTCATCTATAACTTACAATAGTATTATTGTCTTAATTAGGGTTGCTGTGAGGGTTAACTGAGATGAATAATTAAATCTTACAAATAAGAGCCAAAAAGTAATGTTTTTGTTTTTGTTTTAATAAGGAGAAGAAGCAACAGGGGAGGAGGTGGCTAGATGTGGGAATACTGCTCCTATATGCCCTTAACAATTCCAATTCGGTTTTTCTCCATCTATGTCTCTATAAACTGTTCCCTTTTGCTCTCTTTTACCTTTCTCGCTCACTAAATTCATCTTTTGCTCTATGTATATGTTTCCTCTTCCCGTTCCCATTTCTTCTGTTATGTTTCACTAAATCTGAAATATTAGCAGGTTTTAATGAATATATATATATATATATATATATATATATATTTTTTTTTTTTTTTTTGAGACGGAGTCTTGCTCTATCGCCCAGGCTGGAGTGCAGTGGTGCAATCTTGGCTCACTGCAAGTGAGCCTGCCTCCTGGGCTCAAGTGATTCTCCTGCGTTAGCCACCCACGTAGCTGGGATTTCAGGTGCCCGCCACCATGCCCGGCTAATTTTTGTATTTTTACTAGAGACGGCGTTTCACCATGTTGGCCAGGTTGATCTCGAACTCCCGACCTTAGGTGGTCTGCCCACCTTGGCCTCCCAAAGTGCAGGGATTACAGGCATGAGCCACCGCGCCCGGCCTGAAAATACTTTTCCTAATTTTGCTAAAAAGAGATTCATCTTTATAATAGCTCATTATAGTAGAATGTAACATGGCTGATATACATTACTAAATAAGGAAGAAAAAAGATATATGTGTGTATTTATATATAAAAATCAATCGATGGTGCATGATTTATATATATATTTGAATTTTAAATAATTTTTACACATCACAAAATATTATTCTTTTGACTTTTTTTTTCAGCCCATAAGGACATATAAAAACAAGTGATAGGCCAGATTTCGTCCACAGGCCATAGTTTCCAGATCCCTGCTTTAAGCTATATGATTTATGCTGATCTTAAGGAATTATACATTCAAACCACTAGCTACTTAAAAACAGATTAGAAGAGACTATACTATAAGATTGGGTGGAAGGAGATTAAGGAAGACTTGGAATAAGAAGAGGCATTTCGATAAATGATGTTATCACTAGATTGCTGTATTTCTTCTTCTTTTTTTTTTTTTTTTTTTTTTTTTTTGAGACAGAGTCTCGCTCTGTCGCCCAGGCTGGAGAGCAGTGGCGCGATCTCGGCTCACTGCAAGCTCCGCCTCCCGGGTTCACGCCATTCTCCTGCCTCAGTCTCCTGAATAGCTGGGACTACAGGCGCCCGCCACCACGCCCGGCTAATTTTTTGTATTTTTAGTAGAGAAGGGGTTTCACCGTGTTAGCCAGGATGGTCTCGATCTCCCGACCTCGTGATCCACCCGCCTCGGCCTCCCAAAGTGCTGGGATTACAGGCGTGAGCCCCCGCGCCCGGCCACTTTATTTATTCTTAAGCAGGAGAATGAACTGAGGAAAACAATGTTTGAGGAAGATTCATCTGAAAGTGCTGTGGTGCATTGTGGGTATCAAAAGGATACGAAAGTTGAAGTAAATACTCAACATATTTTGTCCTTATCCAGGTGTCAGACAAGGAGGGCCTTGACTTGGGTGGTAGCTTTGAGAATTGTGAAGGAGATGAGAAAAGAACGAGTCAATGAAACTTGACCAACAATTGTATTTAAAGCTAAAGTGGAGGAGGTAGCTAAATAAGATGGCTATTTTATTAAGTCCACTACTGGGATAAAACAGAAGAGTAACAATGAAAGAGAGAAGTCATAATTTGAATTGTATATCTCTTTTATGACAAATAACTGAGTATATCAGGTCTTCCACATTTTGCACAGAGATTTATAAGAGAAAACCTTCCAAAGAATTTTCTTCGTCATTTGTTTTTGATAAATTGTTATTTTAAATTTTATGTTGTAATCAAGTTAAGTCAGTAAGCCTGCTAATGACTGGGGACTAAATGGGATGATTAAGTGGTCTCGTGTAAGTGAGTACAACATGAAAAGGTTCTCATAAAAATTCCGTAGGCTAAACTGATATCGTGGTAGTTTTATAAAGCAGAGAGTGTATAAATACGTTTGTTTTACTTTGTTTTATTAGTATATAATGGTAGAAAAATGGCTTTGTTCAGAACCCATTTTCTAGGCATCTTGACAATGTAATATTCAAGGATGTACATTCCAAGTGAAAACATTTACCAGTAGCCAGAATCACTGAGAATTAAAGAACGCCACCTTTTCAACAGGAAACTCAATTTTCAAACTTTCATATCTCATTCTTTTCCAGGGACGTGCTACCCCACTCATGAGTCCCTTTTGTACTTTCTATCCATCACCTGGGGAAAAGTATTGTGCTTAAGAAGCAAGCAAAGAACAGGGCCTTGGGGCTATGAAGTTTCAAGCTCTTATTTTTATCCAATGAAACTTGTACTTTTAAGTGAAATATTCACCTAAGAACAGACTGAGTTTAAATACCACATTTGGTGATCTCCAAGAGCTTGGGTGGCATTATGTGGCACATCAAATACATTAGTGTCTATAGGATAATTGACATATGTGCGTGTGTAAGGTAGTTTTGCTTCTTGTGAATTGTCTTTTTGTAATTTGGATGATCCCTTCTTATTGTCCTTTTTCAACCTAGAGGCAAAACAATCTTTTTCTGTTTCAATGTAGCAAAATGATATCCATCTATATAAGCAGTTGGTATGTAACACCCTTATGCTCTATCCCTGCATCTTTGGAATTGTGGTCTGTGGCTGACAGAGCAAAACGCCTTCTATCCAATGCAAATTAGATGGCTAGTAGGTTGATTAATAGAAAAAAATTGGCGTTGCTGGCACTTAAAGCTCCTCACTCAGCTATGTTCTGAGACTTTTAAGAGTTATAAGGTATAACTATAAAACTAATTTTTCTTATGCACTAAATGGGTATTGTTTGTTCAAAATAATGAAGTGTTATGGCTTCACATTCATTCCGGTGGGATACAGCTTTTATGCAAAACATTTTTAGAACTCCACTTTTCAAATCATGTTTGACTCTAGATTCACTTCTGAAGTCTGCCTAATGGTGGTCATATTTTTCCTTTTAGAATATAATAAATAGTTGATTTGGGGAGGAAAACTTATTCTAAATATTAACAGTGGTGAAAGGGGGACAGTTTTTACCCAAAAGTGAAACATACAAAAGAAAACTGATTTAATTTTAAGAGTAATTGAACAATTTCAAACTACAAATTTGAATAGCAGCATTAGTGGTTTAAGTGTCTAGCAAAGGAAAAAATGAATCTGATAAATAAAATGAAGGTCTGGTGTGTATGCCATAAAATACTCTCATACACTCACATCTGAAATTAAGCCTTATATTAGGTTCCTCTGTTTTCAGGATATAATTCTTAACTATCATTAGTTACCTGATTTAATCATGAAATTTGAAATTCTGTGCCATGGCATCTATTTTCAAATTCAAACCATTTAAAAATGTGACAGCTGGACTTCATGCAAGTTGGTAATGGTTCTGGTACTAAAAATTGTGGTTGTTTTTTCTGTTTATGTAACCTGCTTAGTATTGACTCTCTCTGTCAAGAGGGTCTTCCTAAGAAGAGTGCTCTCGTTATTTACTTGTACATGAGATTTTAAAGGGCTTTATGTGAACTATTATATTGTCATTTTTCTAAGCATATTCAAAAGGGTAACAAAATTATGTTTATGTACTAAATCTGATGAGGAAAGTAAGCTAGGAAAAGTTGATGGTATTCATTAGGTTTTAACTGAATAGAGCAGTTCCTTATATAATAACAATTGTATAGTAGGGATAAAACACTAACTTAATGTGTATTCATTTTAAATTGCTCTGTATTTTTAATTGCCAAGAAAAATAAATGACTTTGTACATTTGAAGATTTTTTTCCAACAGTTTTTCATCTTCAATGTCTTAATGTGAAAGTTAAAGTTTACCAAAAGAAGAAAGTTGGCAAAAACAGCCTTTTAACGCACGTTTTTTAATGAATAATAGTAGCCTAAACTTAATATTTTTAAAAAGTATTATAATATTGTCTTGTGGAACATTGAAATAAAAAATATCATTGAATGCATCTATAAAAAAAAAGAAAAAATCTGGGCCGGGCATGGTGGCTCACGCCTATTAATCCCAGCACTTTGGGAGGCTTAAGCAGGTGGATCACCTGAGGTCAGGAGTTTGAGACCAGTCTGTCCAACATGGCGAAACCCTCTCTCTACTAAAAAAAAAAAAAAAAAAAATACAGAAAATGTAGCCAGGCATGGTGGCGGGCACCAGTAATCCCAGCTACTTGGGAGGCTGAGGCAGGAGAATCCCTTGAACCCAGGAGGTGGAGATTTCAGTGAGCTGAGATCACACCACTGCACTCCATCCTGGGTGGCAGAGTGAGACTCCGTCTCAAAAAAAAAAAATTGATTATAGTGAGAACTTATGTAATAATTTGTTACGTGCATTCTTTAGAAATTTTCTATTAACCTAAAACCAATAACATGTTAATTACCCCTCCCCTCTTTGTTTGGATGTAAGTCCAAAAGTTTTGGATACCAGATATGATATATGGATATCAGATATGAATAATACCATAGAGTGAATAGATGTCAAGCTGATGAGACCTTTAACTGGTGTTAACATATGATGAGACCTTTACGTGGTGTTCAATAGTATATGTATTGGATTTTTAAAGTCACTCTATAAATTTTCTTTGATTTTTGAAATATATACAGAATGCTACTAGGTTTTCAGTTCTTGAGAGCAAGGGATAAGTCTTATTTGTGATCGTGTGATCAGTGCCTATCACAGTGCTTGACATATAATAAGCATTCAATTATTTTTTAAATGGATAAATTACTGGATGGTTGGATGAATATCTATACTCCAAAAGGAAGTGGATAATATACTGACTTCTACATGGTTTCACAGAGTATGAATCTAGATAACCAACTTAATTCCAACATGAAAGTGTATTTACTTCCATATTACAACAGCAAATGTTTTCTTTTCTCATTATATAATAATATAGAGAGAAATTTCATCCTCAGTATGCGTTTATTGTCTTTTTAAGACTAGCTCAACTAGCTCATCATTTGTAATTACATACTTTCTGCAAACTGAATCAGGCAGTTTCTCTGGGAAGCTGGTCATCTATATTCATTTCTTCATGTTTTTCTTTAACCCTCCAAACCTATACATAATTTCCAAAATACAAAGCATTCATACTACCTGCAAGCTAAATTACCTTTGGGTAGTCTGATTCTCCTCCTACTGTATTTTATAATACATCTACTTTTCTTCATGAAAATAGTAACCACTGATTCTCGAATAGTATGTGGGCTTCTTATTCTTGCATCAAGAATGACTTCCTGCTGTAGTTTAATTGTGATAGTAGGTATAAATTTCCTAACTTCTAGAAATGTTAATGATAGGCTTTAAATAATTCATGTTGTAAAGTCATAAATAAGTGCAAAATTATTTAATGTACTATTAAAATGAGGCCACTACGTGGAAATCACAGTTATATATTGAAATAGCTTCAAATAAGCACTTGCTTTTTGCCCTTCATAAAGCCATTGATATCTCGTACTACTTTGTATGGATTCTATTCAGTGATATGATGATGTTCATAGGTGTAAGTGTATGCAACATGAGAAATAAACGTTCTTTGGATAAACTGACTTCCATTCAGCTCCCAAATAATGTTTTATGGTACCCAGTGATCCCTTATGTCACAAATCTAACAGTTCTTTCTCAGCTTTCCTCGATCTCTCTCCTTTCCTTTCATTTTGTCCCTGGAGTCCTCTGACAATAAGCTGTCTTAGTTCTCTTTCTAATTTTTCTCAATTTTCTGTTCTAATAACTTCCTTTTCTTCCCCAAGTAGAGTTGTTCCTTAGGGCTTTTTTTGTTTTTTTGTTTGTTTTTTAATTAGAGCACTCCTCATCTTTTTTACACACAGTTATGAGTCTTATATCTCTTTCTAAAATCATGGCCTCTTTTAAAATTCTAATCCTATATGTGAAAACATTGGTCAGAACCTCCTCTGCTCAGATGTTAGGCTGCCATCAAAAGAAAAATCACAATGAATGTTCTTCTTCCAAAGCAACTTAAACTACCCCTTTATTCCGGGACTCCACATTTCTGTGCTCTTTCTATACATAAATTTAAATTCCAGCAGCAACCTTGACTTCTTATTTTTCCTCAATTCCTATATTTTAGGATGAGAACTTTTTATTGAATTCTAATATATGAGGAGAGGCACCATGTCAGGTCCTAGGGAAGTAAGTCTTGCCAAGTCATTGTTCCTAATTTAGATAAACACTTAACTTACTAAGGCAAAAAAAAAAAAAAAAAAAAAGGCAATATGGGAAGACAAAAATTAAGAGTATGGGGGAAAATTAGAAGTCAGTTTACAATTTGTATTAGGCCTTAAAGGAAGAGTAGGATTTTGACAGATAAAGAGGGAAATAATAAACCAGACCTCATGTTTCTATTCTCTGTTATTTGTTCACGTGACTTTTCTTAACAATTCCCTTCTCCTTTGTATCTACTGTCAAAATCTCACTGGATTCTGTAGCTCATAATCTTGTTCAGTATTTGTTTTTCAATTGATTACAAATGTGTGTGAGAGAATATATGTGTCAATTGTAAACCCTATCTTGTTTTATTAACTTTGTTGTCTCTCCTACTAGCACTAGCCTGTGTTTGGCACATAGTAGGTGTTCAAAATACATTTGCTAAAGCAGTGACTAACTGTATAAGAAAGTGAGCTATTTAGGATGGCAATCGATCAAGTTTTTCTCCTACATTCACATATTAACTAGGAACTGATCTAAGGATTCTAACTAATTGTAAAGTACAATATAAACACGTTGGTGCCTTGAAAACAGAAATAACCAGTCTTTACATGTGGAGATATGCACAACAAATATTATTACCTATTATCCTAGTATGTTATGTTGTCAATTATTAGGAAGTTGAAGTTTAATCACAAATGGAAATTCAGCTATAGTGAGTAACAGTATCTGGATCTTCAGTTTCTTCTGATCTTCTGTCCCATGTTTTTCAAACTGTGACTAACACGTGCTTCACAGTCAAAATTTAGGAAAAGTTGATTTTTACTGATTCATTCGCTAAAATATTTTGTGCCTGTAGAAATAAAAATATAGTGACATTTAATGTTTATTGAGTGCTTGCAATGCACTAGCCACTTTACATATATTACTTTACTTAATCTTTAGAGCCACCCTATGAATTATTTATCCCATTTTATGATGGAAGCTAAGGGGCAGAGTGATAAACTAGTTGCCTGAACTTATAGTCCTAGGAGCTAGGGGCAAAGTTTTAGGAAACTAGGTCTAACATCAAATCCAGATCTTATCACTACATACATTATCCTGAGCCACTTAAATGAACTGGACATATAGAGGTCATAAATGCTGATTGGGCTACTGTTTGCACGTGTAAGAATGTACACAATCATTAACTGAGAAAAAGTTTATCTACCTTATGCATTGTATATCATGGGCAAAAATAATTTATTTTTAAAGTTACATTTAGATATTATATTGTGCCGTTCTCTCAACTCTAGATTGAGATAGAGTTAGATATTATGGCACAATATGTTATCTAAATATTAGTTCAAATTCTTTCAAACAGCAGAATTCTATGAGATGAATTTTATAGGCCCTTCAATCTCTAAAGATTCTAAATTGTCATGGTCACTAATTAAAAGGACTGTGCTAAGTAAGAGGTAGAATAAATGTTTCTTTTAGAAGTCAAGATCCATACATGTTTGGACATTAAGAAAAGAAGGACATTTTTCCTTTGCACATAATATTCTATCAATTATGGCTTTGATTAGGATGACACTAACAAACCAGGTGAAAACTTGAAAATAAAAAATATCAGCCAGTGGTTTGGGCTGAATTTTGGAAATAACTAAGTTAGAGTTTTTTGTTCTCTTCTCTTCACTGAATTAATTTGTGGTTTTTATTTTACATAAGCACATTCGCTAGAACTACTCAAACTTGGCAGTCATTTCTTCTTCTTCTCCCTCGCACAATGGCTTGAAAGTTACTTTTTAAAAAAACTTCCTTTTTTTCCTCTTCCTTTTGTCTTCCTGGAGTGTTATATGTCTAAGTGACAGGAGTCTTACACATATTTTGGAAGATAAACACCCTGCCTCTGTTAGGTACAACACAAGGATTCATACATCATTTACGCATCCCCCTTCTCACCCGTCTGGCTCAGGGAGAACAATAACCCTGGCTGGACTTCAGTGCATTATGGCAGATTGCTGTCCAGGACATCATTATTGGTAATCTTGTCTTATCTTGGTTCATGGATGTCACAGAGGATACTGATCCCAAAGTGAGATTTCTGCAGCAAGGCTGAGACTCATTATATGTTATTATTCCACTGGCAAAATGACGAGTACTATGTTAAGATTCAGTACAGCTTTTGAAAATAATTTTCAAAGAAATATACATTTAACCATTTTGTGCATGATTTTCACTTTTAAAAATTAGAGTATCACCATTTTACAAATAATTCTTGGTATTTTGAGCCTTTTTAATGATTGAGTCTCAAAATTCTAATGAACTCTTCCTTTAACATAAAATAGAAATCTGAAAAACCTGTCTATAACACTCCTAATTGAAATGTGAAATGTCCAGGAGACGAATTGCTCGCGTTTCTGTGTGAAACCAAATTGGCTATCTTTTTTTTTTCTTCCTCGGTGAATTGATCAAATTGGGATTAAATTATTTGCTTGGTCATTATATGTGCATAATTTACATTACCCAGGGAGTATCGCTTATGGCTGATTTTTCAGGAAATTGAATGGACTTGTGCTTTGTGGGCCTGCTGAAAATTCTGCAGCATGCCTCACATTGAGTTTGACAGTAGGCTGCCATTGTCAAAATCGTCCATTTGAACAGCATTTGTTATGGAGTTGGAGAAGGACTACGGGGAAATCTTCGCTTACAGTCAGGGGCCAACTCACATGGGACAAAGTAGTAGCCTAGTTCACAATGTGTATATTACTTTCTCTCAAACCTATAACCCTGACCTCCAACCGTTATGATTTTTACTTAGGGAGAAACAGCATAAATCAATATCATTGGCTTCAAAGAGTAGCCATGGCATAGAGGCCTTCTTCTGACTTTAAACTGTCTATTTTAGAGATGGGGCTATGTTTTCTGGGCCTATTTTATCGTGAAGAGATAATCTCTGTGATTCAGAGATTATTCTGCACTTACTCCACAAAGGAAGTGTTCCTGCGTGCTCACTAGTGCCTCTGTGAGTAACAGACGATCACCTTTCTATGACAGCTTTTTCTCCTCAAATACATTCTATATTAAAACCCTGCTTTACACAACCTGTGCATGACTCTGCATATAAAATACTAAAACATCATCAGTTTTAATGAAACATAGTCAACCTAGTACTTGAAAAATTTATATTTATGGCCCACAGACTAGCAACCTTCCAACATGAGCTAGGTGATGCATTTCTAGTAACTTCAAATTAATCCTTTTCATTATAGGAGTAGGTGCCCATGAAAATGAATAGAAATTGCTGATCTCATTAAAGGCTGAATTGAAATCAATTCTTATGGTGGCAGTAGCTACAACGTGTGATAATTTTCTAGCTGCTATATGAGTTAAGTCCTATAATTACTTTTAAAAAATTCTAAATAGCATAATTTTAGATTGTATTGTATTTTTTATGTGTATATTTGTATGTGTGTTGGAGGAATTGGTATAGAGATATATTTTAAAAAGCTTGAATTTTAATTAGGTTGGCTTGGTTTTTATATTCACAGGGCTTTATATATGTCTTTCTACAGACACAACTTTTTTCCTCTAATTCTTTTGATTCTCATTCTCATTTTGAGACACTGATCCTCAGATTATGACGCTTGTTAAATGCATACTATGCTAGAGGGCTATTTTTATGCTCACAGACTCAAATCATTCTGAGATTTAATTTCCCTTCTATAGTGTGAAACAAATTTTTAAATTTAAAAAGATGAAAACATTTGTCCTTGCCCTAGGGCCCTGATTTAAAGTAAAGACAGAGGGTTAAATATCAAAACTTTAATATAAATGAAGTACATGCATTTCTAAGTAAAGGTCTGGCACCATCTGCACAGGGCATTGATTCCTCTAGCTGGAGGGCTGGAGAGTCTGTTTACAAAAGAATACACAATTTAAACAGAACAAGTGCCCTTCTATCAAATAGAAGAGAAGAGTCACGTTCATTTGTCATTACAAGCACACCATTTCCTTTTTGGTAAGTTAATGCCCTTCCTTAAAAGGAGATTAGTCCTGTAAAGTAAAGAAATTGAAGGTGGCAGTCAGCATCCAGGAGTAGATACAGACTCGAAATTCTTTAAAAGCCTGTGAGTTCAGACCCTTTCAGAATCTCTTAAAACATCACCAGAGAATACTGGTATATCCACATTCACCTACCAGGATTATTTCAGAATCATGACCACATAACTTTTCACAGTAAGAATCTGCATGCAAGTAGATATCAGTTCTCAATCAATACTGTGGGAACTTGTTGGTTAATGTGGCAAGAAAGCAAGTGAAAAAAACCACAAGGGTGTTCATAAAGGTATTACTCTTAAGATATGACACGACAGGCCATACCTTGATTTTTGCTAATGTCTGTCCCCTATGAGATGGCCCCAGTTTCTTTAAAAACTTACCCTTAAAATTAGATGCAACGGGTAATTATCCTTGTAGAGAATTTAAATTCACGCCTTGATTTCTTTCATAGATGAATCTCATACTATGAACACAAGGATAGTAATAGGCCAAGGAGCATTTAAATATTTATGCATATTCTACTTAGATTTATATTTGGAAACATTTTAACCCTGGTAGAAGAAACGTTTCTCTTCTCATGATCTACTATATTTTCTAGGACTTTAAAAGTGGGTATGTTAGTACAGAAAAGCAGCAAAGGAGCCAATCCACCCTGTAGCTTTGAACAAAGACAATTCTATTAAACTTTCCTTTACAAATCATGATTAGGGAATTGGCTGAGAGTAACAATATGCATCATAAATAAATTGAAAATTGTTCCAGGTATTATCACACAATAAAATATATGTAACACTGATGCTGTATTCAAGATCAAGACACCTTAATATTTTATTCGTTTCCAAGTCACTTAGAAAACCTGCATTAGTTTAGGATGTTCGTTAATAGTATTGTAATCTTGGGGAAAAAAATAAGGGTTTAAGTTTTCTGACTATTTGCATTTGGGACAAAACCCTAATTGTTAGGTTAATTTGTTTTATATCAATCAAAGTTTTAGATTTTCTTTTAGAGAGTTAGTCTGGGGCATATTATGTTAACAATGCTACTGTTGCCCTTGTTTTTACAACAGTTTTGACACAAAGGAGTATAAAGTCTAGGGAAATATATTCTTATAGACGGTAAAGCATTGCAAGAAAAGCAGTCCGAAAGGAGGTAGTTCAATAAGAAATATGAAAAAGAAAAAGAAAAAGAAAGCACTCTGTTAGACCTAGTTCAATCCTGGCCTTAAACTAGCTGAGTGATTTGGAGCACATACTCCTGAAAGTCACAGTTTCTTTATTCATAAAATATAAAACACAATGCATATTGCATTTGATTGTTGCAGGGGTTAAAGGAGATGGTATATGTGAAGAGTATGGAGTATTGTCTGTTTCTATTCTCATTGCCATTTTAGGTGATAGAAAAGTTAAGATGCACCAATTGCTCTCATCCTAGACTACTTCTAAAGGCCTCAGAAGAGATAAATCTCTCCATTTCTCATTTCTTCGATTTTCCTTCCAGGCAGAGATGCCAAACAGTAGGTCAGGAAAAACTTCATGGGTATACAACCTCATGATTTATTTTGAGTACTGCTATGACCAGAGTCAGTGGGCAAAGAAAATTGTGCACAGTGCCTTGGAGCTCAGTTGAACTTACAGATGCAACTTGGCCTCCCTGTACTTAACTCAAAATCTTTTCATAATGAACTTTCATTTTTGTCTACAACACAAATCCCTACTATCTCATTTCAAAACCTAACCTGCAGCGGTGGATCTAAATAGACCCCACGTGATTCAACCTGTACTATACACTGAATTTTGAAGCAATGTTATAAAGCATTACCTCACAGATGGGTACCATTGTCACAGTCAAGGGGAGTGGAGTCTGCATTGGGAAGTCTTTACTGAAAATGTCACAAACATGTTCATCTTCTACGTTCTTTATGGTTCTCTTTATTTTTAAATTGTATGGATGTAAACATCTTATGCAGTGTCTTATTGCTTCTCTCTTGGATTTGTATCATTTTCACAAGTTTTGTATTGTTGCTGACTGGTACAGTTTCTCATTTACATATTTAAATTTTTAATATATTTTCTAAACAATTTTGATTCTTTTTTTGCTATTGCTCCAATATGATAGATTTTGGCTATGAATCTTCTCCACTAACCCCTACTATGCATCCCATACACATAATAGTATTCAATATACTGGCATTAGAAACCAGTTGTTGTATAAATAATATAGTCATGATTCAAGTAAGCAGTCTTTAGCCTTGTCATGGACAAAGAAAAACAAAGACTGGCCACTAAAAGGAAATATCAAAATAAATTAATTTGGTGGTAGATATATGAGGGAAATGAAATCATAGAGAAATCTGCACTCTCATATTCATTGCAGCATTATTCACCATGGTCAAGGTATGGGAAGAAATCTAAATGTCTGTCAACAGTTGGCTGCATAAAGAAATCACAGTGTACATATACATATATATCTCAGTGTATAGATACACAACTGAATATTCAGCTTTAAAAAAGAGATCTTGCCATTTGTGACAATATGGGTAAACCTGAGGGACATTTTGCTAAGTGAAATAAACTAGACACAGAAAAATTAATTCAAGATGGATTAAAGACTTAAATGTTAGACCTAAAACCATAAAAACCCTAGAAGAAAAGCTAGGCAATACCATTCAGGACATAGGCATGGGCAAGGACTTCATGTCTAAAATACCAAAAGCAATGGCAACAAAAGCCAAAATTGACAAATGGAATCTAATTAAACTAAAGAGCTTCTGCACAGCAAAAGAAACTACCATCAGAGTGAACAGGCAACCTATATAATGGGAGAAGATTTTTGCAGTCTACTCATCTGACAAAGGGCTAATATCCAGAATCTACAACGAACTCAAACAAATTTACAAGAAAAACACAAACAATCCCATCAACAAGTGAGCGAAGGACATGAACAGACACTTCTCAAAAGAAGACATTTATGCAGCCAAAAGACACATGAAAAAATGCTCATCATCACTGGCCATCAGAGAAATGCAAATCAAAACCACAATGAGATACCATCTCACACCAGTTAGAATGGCAATCATTAAAAAGTCAGGAAACAACAGGTGCTAGAGAGGATGTGGAGAAATAGGAACACTTTTACACTGTTGGTGGGACTGTAAACTAGTTCAGTGATTGTGGAAGTCAGTGTGGTGATTCCTCAGGGATCTAGAACTAGAAATACCATTTGACCCAGCCATCCCATTACTGGGTATATACCCAAAGGACTATAAATCATGCTGCTATAAAGACACATGCACACGTATGTTTATTGCGGCATTATTCACAATAGCAAAGACTTGGAACCAACCCAAATGTCCAACAATGATAGACTGGATTAAGAAAATTTGGCACATATACACCATGGAATACTATGCAGCCATAAAAAAGGATGAGTTCATGTCCTTTGTAGGGACATGGATGAAGCTGGAAACCATCATTCTCCACGAACTATCGCAAGAACAAAAAACCAAACACGGCGTGTTCTCACTCATAGGTGGGAATTGAACAATGAGAACACATGGACACAGGAAGGGGAACATCACACACAGGGACCTGTTGTGGGGTGGGGGAAGTGGGGAGAGGGGAGTGATAGCATTAGGAGATATACCTAATGTTAAATGACGAGTTACTGGGTGCAGCACACCAACATGGCACATGTATACATATGTAACAAACCTGCACGTTGTGCACATGTACCCTAAAACTTAAAGTATAATAATAAAAAAAGAAAATACTACATGATCTCTCTTATATGTGGAATCTTTAAAAAAGTTGAATACTTAGAAACATAATAAAATGGTGATTATCAGAGGTGAGGTGGGGAGTTGAGAAGAAAGGGGGATGAGAATTGGAAGATATATGTCAAAGAGTAAAAATGTACAGTTATGTAGGGTGAATAAATCTAGAGATCTAAAGTACAGCATGAGGACTATAGTTAATAATATTGTATTATATACTGGAAATTTTTCAAGAGTGTATTTTAGGTGCTCTTGCCACAGAAAGGATGACTATATGAGATGAAGGACATGTTAAATTGTTTACCTGTAGTACTCATTTTATATACATATATCTATATATATATCTACATATATATGTGTGTATATATGTGTGTGTGCATATGTACACACTATATATGCATACACTATATATACCCGTGTGTGTATACACACACACACATATATGTACATACACACACATATATATACACACACACACGGGTATATATAGTGTATGTATATATATGTGTGTATATATATACGCACAGACACCTACATATATAGTGTATGTATATATAGTGTGTATATATGTATATATATGCATACACACATATATGTATATATACACACATATGTAGGTATATATAGTGTATGTATACATCTATGTGTATATATATGTATATTTCAAAACATCATGTTGTACACCTTGAATTTATACAATAAAAGACATGTAGAAAATAAAGCCTTATGTATTAAGAAAAAGAAAAAGAGAAAGAGAGACAAAAAAAAGAGAGAAATAGAGAAAAGAAGTGAGTTGATTACATGTCTCAAGCTCCATGAAGAAGATATAAGGTCCACCGTAATACTTCCTCTCCTATCTGCCTCTAGTAAGCCCATTACCAAAGCTCAACATCCAAATTTCCTGAAAAATATCTTCCCTAATATTTTACGTTCTAGTGCAATTTCTTTCTCTTACCTTCCCATAATTATGTATCACAATAATGCGAAGATCTGCTTGGACTTGGAACGTCTCTTATTGTTTGAGATAAAGGAACAAACTTAGCAGCAGAGCCAGAAACATCTTTAGTGGGAGGGGCGTAGGAAAAAACTTGAATTATTGTTATTTTTATTTTAAAATCCACAAACTTCAGGCACCAGTGTGGGTGAACAGAGTTGAAGAGCTTAAGAGGTATGCAAGCCAGTGGGTATCAGCAATGGACTACTGAAGGAATTCAGTGAAATATAGGATCAGAGAGAACAAATTATTTCCATTTTGTTAACATTTGGTGACTGAAACTCAGAAAGAAATGAATTTTTAAGAATGTAAAAAAGATGAATCTGAGTTTGTATTCTGGTTAAGTGGAGCTCACTTTATTTTGTATTTTTTTATTTTTTATTATACTTTAAGTTTTAGGGTACATGTGCACAACGTGCAGGTTTGTTACATATGTATACATGTGCCATGTTGGTGTTCTGCACCCATCAACTCGTCATTTAACATTAGGTATATCTCCTAATGCTAGCCCTCCCCCCTCCCCCCACCCCAAAACAGGCCCTGCTGTGTGATGTTCCCCTTCCTGTGTCCATGTGTTCTCATTGTTCAATTCCCACCTGTGAGTGAGAACATGTGGTGTTTGGTTTTTTGTCCTTGCGATAGTTTGCTGAGAATGATGGTTTCCAGCTTCATCCATGTCCCTACAAAGGACATGAACTCATCATTTTTTATGGCTGCATAGTATTCCATGGTGTATATGTGCCACATTTTCTTAATCCAGTTTATCATTGTTGGACATTTGGGTTATGCAAGCCAGTGGGTATCAGCAATGGACTACTGAAGGAATTCAGTGAAATATAAATCAGAGAGAACAAATTATTTCCATTTTGTTAACATGTGGTGACTTAAACTCTGAAAGAAATGAATTTTTAAGAATGTAAAAATGTTATGAATCTGAGTTTGTATTCTGGTTAAGTGGAGTTCACTTTCTTTAATAGAGGACACTAGGTAACTGCTCTCTGGAGACACTGATTATCTCCCTTCTTTTCAACAGTGGCTGACTAATAAGATCAATGAAAAAATTATAAATATAATAAGTTGTTATTGTTTACTGCTTACGTAAATAAAAAATAACTGTTATCTGATGGTAATTTGTAAAATTGAGATTAAGTAGCTTTTCTTCAAACAAGTAACTCCTACAGTGGTTTAGGTTCAAGGCGAATGTTCTGTGTAACCCACTGTGAGGCCGGCGTTCATCAGTCTCCACAGAGCACTCCATCTTGATGTAGGCAGAGGGGCTGAGTGGGTAGCTTAATGCTAAGATTCTATGACCCAAATATAATAGTGAATGGATTTAAAATTCACATTTCAAAAGATCACAATCCCCAGCCTAAACCAAATATCCAGTAAGTTCCTTTATGCTATTTTTGTTGGGTTCCCAGTTTGTTTAGTTTTCTATCTAGTGTTTGGGGTCTTAATGCTTATTTTCTCCTTGCATTTTTTTTAAGCATCTTCATTTTGTATATGCTAACATTTCTTTCTATACTCAACACTAAACACATTTCTTCCCAGTTAACACTTCTATTTCCCCTTCCCTGCCTACCCTACTTCCTTCAGATCCTCCACCAAAAGGTAATGATCTCTGAATTTATAGCTCAAAAAGGTAAAACTGCCAAACAAGAAAAACACATTGCTTGATTCATTTTAAAGTTATTTCAGAGGATGTCAAGATAAATGAGTTGTATTCCATAAACAAGGAAAGAAATATTAACAGATTAAGAAGTCATAACTGAAACACAAAAATGAATATGTTAATCTGATAAAAATGATTTAATCATTTCAGATATAAGTGAATAATTTTTATACACAACTATGGCACAATTGCATTTTATGACTTTTACAAACAATCTCACTAATATACCTTTTTTTTTTTTTCCCGAGGCAGCATCTCACTCTGTTGCCCAGGCTGGAGTGAGTGCAGTGGCACGATTTTGGCTCACTGCAACCTCTGCCTCCCAGGTTCAAGTGATTCTCCTGCCTCAGCCTCCTGAGTAGCTGGGATTACAGTTGTGTGCCACCATACCTGGCTAATTTTTGTATTTTTAGTAAAGACAGGTTTTCACCATGTTAGCCAGGCTGGTCTCGAACTCTTGATCTCAGGTAATCTGCCCACCTTGGCCTCCCAGAGTGCTGGGTTTACAGTCATGAGCCATCGCGCCTGGCTAATACAGCTCTTTAAAACTTTTATTTCTACTGCTTTATGTGTTATAATAGCAACAATGTAATTTGCACTCACTTTATGCTGAGATTTGTATCAGCATTAAAAATGTTGTTTCAGTATTTACATTAACCCTATCTAATAGGTGTTATGTTAATCTCATTTTACCAATTACAAATGAGTTTTATAGAGGTTAAGTAAATTTCCCAATTCTGCATAACTAATAAATATCAGAGCGGACATTCATAGCCAAGTCCATAGAACTCCAGAGGCCATGGCCATTGCCTTTACAGTTATGATCCAATAACTTCACCCTCAAACATCAAATGGAAAATATACCAAAAATTATTATTTATTTTCTTGAAAAGTTTTTAGCCCATAATGAGACAGATCTACTGAGAGCTTCCTTGGAATCATGGAATCTCGGCGGTTCCTTTGTCTAATATTTTGTCTGAGTTGGGAATCCTCACTACAATATTGGTGATAGATAAATGTGTTGCTTCTTCTAAACATTCCCAGTATCAAAGAGCACCTGATCTGATAAGACATATGTGTATATACATCAATCAAGGACCACTATATAATTTTTTGGTTTTTTAATCCTCTGTTATTGGGTAGATATTTGCTTTCATTAACACTCGTTGATTCTAATTCTGTAATAACCAGACTCACAAAAGTGAAAAGTATTTTAATATAACATGTGAGACTGAAAAGGGAATAGAGAAAACTCAACCTAGATGTATAGGTATTCTAAACACAAATAACAATAAATGTATGAGCATCTTCTATTCCAGAGTGGTTGAGAAAATGATTTTATTTCCTTGCCTTAAAAGATATATAATGTAGAATCCTATCTGGGGTGCATTATTATTTTAACGCAATAGCATTGTAGCAATAGAACCATGTAATACTATGATAATCCTATAGAAAATGCACCTGTGTCAGATGTAGCCAAGGTTATCTGGTGAGGAAATAACTTTAAATCGGATGCAGGGGTACCAAACTGAAAAAAATTAGTATTTTGAAAATGTCTCATGACATTGGAGAAAAAACAATAAAATCTATTTTTGGCATAAACAGTGTTTGATAGTGGAGGAGTGAAAAGGGTGTGACAGCTTTGCTTACCATCATAAGAGTCATGGTTGACACTCCTATAAGAAAAGACAGATTAACAAGAGAATAGCCCAACAACTTCATTTAACTGAAGTTTTGTGTGACACAGAAGCCAAATGAAGATAAAAAGACACAGGGAAAACTATCCATTTTTATGCTTAGGTTGAATGAAGAATGGACCATGTAGAAATGTGATTGGACAAGGGATATGATTTAATACTAATTGACTGAGTGAATAAACCCAGAGAAGCCTGTCTGTACTGGCCTCTCTGTTGTAGCATTCCTTCTTCCCATGTATAGACCAGAACCCCTCTAAAATGAGGGTCTAATGACCTATCAAACAAGAGTGGGTCAGATAATTGTTTTATAGCCAGCTCCTAAACACAAAGGTAGGAAAAAGTTAAAGTCAAACGTGTAGTTTTTATGGTTGTCTTTGGGAAAGAGGTGTTCTTGTTTCTATGACCCACCTTGGGGAAGGGGAACTCTGGTTTCTCTGACTTGCTTCAGGGAAATTTAATCTTCCCCCTCCTAACTGCTTGTTCCAACATTCACTTGTACTTTGTCACCACCAGAATCACTCTTACCAAAATAATCACTACCCTTAGGGAGCAAGTGACAGGGTTTGGAATTGGGTACAGTGTATACTGCTCAGGTGATGGGTGTGCCAAAATCTCACAAATCACCACTAAATAACTTAAAACACCACCTGTTCCTCAAAAACTTAAGGAAATTAAAAAAAAATAAAGCCACTGACAGGGTTTAAGTGAAAGTACTTTGAAGTACATGTCGGAATGAAAGGATGCCAATACTGCTGCCCCCATTACTTTGAGTATGAGAACTTGGGAAAGTAACATACATATTTGGGTTTCTATTTAATCATTTACTAAATAATATTGATCCTTACTATCGTGCAAGTTTGTTGGTTGATGATCAAATAATATATGTAAAATGTGATTTGCAATGGGGGGGTGTGTGAGCATATATATATATATATACACACACACATATGCACACACATACAAAGTATACACACATGTGCATATATACACATTTACACAAACACAGAAATATTTAGCAATACCTTTTTTTGCAAAGGTAACAATAGCTAATGCTTGTTGAGTTATTCCTACACATTTGTACCATTCTAAGTATTTCTATGCATCAACTAATTTGCTCATTTCACTATTATCCCCATTTTACAGATAAAATGAGCAACTTTCCTAAGATCACACAGCTAGTAATTGCAAGAATTATAAATTACTCCCAGGAGATCTAACTCCAGAGTCCAACACCCTTAACCACTATGCTACATCACCTGTGTAATATTGCCTATATGCTATAACTCTGGATCTTAATACTATTCAGCTTTATGTTTAGGAGGAATAAAATATTGTTTGTCCAAATCTAGATTTCAGGAAAATGTATAATTTCAATTAGCAAAATATTAAGCTTTGTAAGAATAGTCAAAAGAAAATAATAGTTAATACCTAATCTGTTTTGTTATGGTTAGTGTCCTGCTTGCAATGAGTGAATTCTAATTTTACTTTTGTTTCATTTTGCTATTTGTTTAACAGTTGGAGTCATTCTTGAACCTTCATCTATGAATCCCACGAAATTTTTTACCCCTACTAAAGACTATATGAAGTAGATAATAAACAATATTAGAAGATTGTAACTGATGTTGAAAGCCCCTTGTCACATGTAATGTAATGCAATAGATAGTGTTTTGGACTCCTATTCAAGCATAAGATTTCATCATTTACAGTCATTCTTGAAAGATTTGAATTACAACTGGTTTCTCTATCTCATTTGATTTATCCATATTGTGATGTTAAATCTAACTGTAGTATACTATAAGAGACATATCATAGCCTTAAGATTAATGATACCCTTAAGGCCCACTAATATATCTCTCAGGGCCTACACTATGTGTCACTTAGCAATATGATGTAACCTGGCCTAAAGACTTCCAGCCCTGGCCCAAGGATTATGGGCTTTCTATAACGATGTGGTCAGTGTGACCTGTTTGTATTGTAGACAAGGTCACCTGAGCACAAATGCAACTTTCATGGAGCTTAAAATAAAATTCACACTTACTAGAATAGCTTAAACTCCGTTTGTGAAAGAAATACCTAGTAACTGACCCAGGCTGAATACAGGTGTCAGAAAGGGAGTAAAATCCTCCAAATTTGATAATGGTTTCCAGACGGAGACTCTTCTGTGACTGGCGGTCATCTGACCTGTGGCTGCTTCTGGCCCAGTGCCCTGGTCTGCTCCCACCATCTGTCTTGAAAAGGTTCTGCCAGCATAAGCGGCCTGAACACCAGACTGTGCCTGAGACTCTGAAAGTGAATCAGATGTAAGGGGAAGTCGCCCCCTGGTGATGCTGGTTAGCTAAGACCACTAAGACCACCATGGACCCCTTAAGATGACACTAACCATGCCCCGGATTAATCTGATTCTATTTGGTTTCTTCAATGATTTTTTTGATTTCTGGATATTTAGCATATCTCAAGAGAATTTTTCAGAAAGGCTTTCTAACTTTCGAGAGAGGTGGCATGCAGCTGTTATATAATACTCATGGAAGATACGGCTAGTGGATCTTCAGACATAGCCTTCTTTTAAAGAAACCAGTCTTTTATTTTTATGGTGGGTGGTGCTGGTACTCTGAGGAAGAACATGAGTGAAATGCTTACATGCTGTTCAAACAGGCTGCTGAAAATAACCCTGACTAGTCTCAGAATCTCCTAGAAGAAATTCCCATCCCCGTCTCTTGTGTGTGTGTGAGTGTGTGTGTTTGTGTGTGTGTTTCAGCCATGTGGTATAAACCTGTCAGGAGCTTATTTGTGATTGTGGGTGGTTTAGACAATGAAATGCTATCCAGGTTATTGACGGGATGCTATCCAGGCTATTGAAGGGACAGTCACAAATCTAAAACACACACATTGCCCAGCACTTATTGTGGTCACACTTAGCATGCTTTCGTGAGTGTGAAGCTTTTTTCATTTTCCCAATTGAGTCCCCAGACATATTATTAGCATATTATGATTTACAAGAGAGTGGTTTTTTAAATAACAATACTGAGAAAGCAAAACCCATTTGTTCATCCCAAGAGGTTTGAGAGCACATTGTAAGCACACAGTGGTCAGAATAAAAACTGATACAAGTACACAGTCCATGATGGTTCCTAATTGGAGAAAATATCCAATTACAGCCAAAAGGCTGAGAAACAAATTGTTTACCACAGTAAATCACTCTCATAAATATAATTATTTAGAACATTTGAACTCTATTTAAGGATATAAACAGTGATGTGTGCTTCACAAGGAACTGTAGACAGCTGGCTGGCTTTAAATGTTAGTGGGAGCCACATTGGAGGCTGCCAGGGGCTTCTACTGTTCCATTTAGCTAAAGGCAGGATTACTGAAGCTGCATTATATCCTCCATCTCATTTTCAGCTCTATTGCACCAATTATGCTGCATTGAGGCTTATAAGGGCTCACATTGAGTTTCAGATAGATGGAAGAAGCCAGTCTATATTCTTTGTGATAAAAATAGTCATTAATTACTGAGACTTATAAACCGCTTAGCATCCTTCTTAATGTGGCCCCGTCAGGTGCTTCTCCTCATTCTATAGCTAATCAGCAAAAGGGGAGAAAAATCCTCAGGATGTTGATGATTTTTTTGGCTCAAACATAAAGCCAAGGTTAAAAATAGATCTAAAATGCAATGAATACCTAAGCCAATATGCCCTCACTGGTAAAATACTGTCTTGTTTTCTTTTCAATCAACATTGATTAAAGAAAAATTTCATGTAACATTATCTCATGGGGAAATTATCAGTATAATATTTAAACCTGTCTGGTACAGGACAGTGTGTTTGGATGCCTGTTAAACGATACAATACATTCTGAGGAGTTGGATGCATGAAAACACATTTACAAATAGTTCAAATGGAGTTAGATAATTATCTAATTAAAGAAATGTGAAATGTCACGGGAATCCATAAAGTAATTTAGTAGAGAGGGAACCCAACTAGTAAAGGGTCTGCTGAAGGCAACAATAGACAGTTTCATCTTTGAATGGACAGTTTCTATTTTCTGGCAAGATTTCAGGTTAGGCTGTTTTGGAATTGACTGCCATACCCAGTATTTGAATGTTTAACAATAGCCTTATGTTTAATCGGCAATAATGCCCATGATGCCACTTTATTAAGGCAATCAGAATCACGGGGCAGTAAATGCCAGTATGAGAAATTATAACAGCCTTCATTTGGTAGACAAGCTACGAATGAATGGCTTTTGTTTGTAAAAGTGTCCCACAGGTTGAAAAAATAGGAAGCATACCTATATGGAGTATAAACACATATTGAGGGCTTCTTTCTTTAACATACATATTTCATGAATAAAAACCATGCTTTCAGGAATGCCGTACAACTGCATTTCATGCATTTTGATATGACAAATATTCGTGAATGGGGTACAGTGTTTCAAAGGAATGGGCAAAGAAAATTGGAGTGATGGCATATTGGCTAAGTTGATTTTTATAAAAGCCTTGTAGAGAGCTTTAAAAATGAACAGTGTGTGCAGAAGGAAAAAAACAAATATGAAAGAAATTACAAGTGGGTTTCACTACATTACAAGGTTGAGATTGCTTATTAAATACATAACTTGTTTTTCTGCTATACCAGTCATTTTACACAAGTGTGTGATTTGGCTTCCATTTATAATGTGTAACTGCAGCATGCTTCAACGATGCCACAGGGAATACTTGTTATGGTTTGAATATTTGGTTAAAATCATTGGAAACATTCCAAAGGCATTTGCATACTCATGGTAGCTTTGGGTAAGCACATTCTTCCAGTTCACTTCTCTTCTTGGCAAGTGGGGAAAAAACAATTGCCCTCTAGACACAGGACAGACAATATATTCCCATTTCCTTTCTTCCCATTCCAGGTTTTTGGGAATCAGTAGAAACTGTATTTGAAAGTAATTTAAATTTTCACTGCTCCTTGGAAAGAAGCTTCTTTAGAACCTTTCTGTAAAATGTTGAGCTGTTAATGTACATTATATATATAGTTATTTTAATTATAATTATTGTAGTTAAAACCAGCAATAAAATATTGATGACTTAGTTTAGCTTCTAAGTAAAATCCCATTGCATAGCAATTATGAAAGGCAGGGAGGGGTGGAAAGGAAGTATTATACAAGCAGACGAATGAGAGGAAATTTGCCCAAAACATAGAGAAGTGGGTCCTTCATAAGCTAGACTAAGTATAGATTCCAGCACAGATTTTATGATGGACACCTGGAGAATGTAAACACCAAAAACTGCAACGGGTATTTTTTTTTTCCCCACTTTAAGCCTTTACTAGAAAGAATGACATATACAGTCTTTACATGTAGTACTTGATTTATTATAAAGAGGCAGAGTCACCCCCAAAGGGAGCCAGATATAGGATTCAAGACTGAAAGAATGGAAAAGAAACATTTAAACAAGTTCCAGGACCATTTGTTTTCTAACAGCTCTGGTATTTTTGGTACAATTTGAAAGGCTTTGCAGGAACAATTCGTCAGCAAAGGGAAAACAGTCTTATTTTTCACAAAACAAGGTGCACATGGAGACAGGTAGTTGATATAAAACACTCTTTCCTTTTCACATTGTCACCTTTCCAGGGGTGCCTAGATAAGATGCTCACTTTGAAGCCATCTCCTCCTCTGCTACCTGTTATTGTTTTCTACCTCTCCCTGTCCCCAATGCCCTGGCTTCTTCTACATCTTATCCAGTGGTTTGTGTCCTCTTCGCTGGAATCTTAGGGCCTTGACATCATCCTGTCTGGGAGCTTTAATGTCAAGGTCATGAAGAAAATCCCGGATAGATTCAGGCATAACCTGAGAACTGACAGAAATGATTCCTCGTGTCTGTGGTTTGAAAGACGTAGGAGGCCTACATCTTTCAAAATAATCAAACTGCAGGATCAAAAGACCTCCTCACCATCAGGGTTTGGAAGTAAAGGGAGAGGGGCGGAAGATTCCTTCCTGTTACGCTTTCCCTCTAGTGGCCTTCTTTGAGTTCTTGGAAGAGGTAGCACTATTTAGCTTTCCTCATGAGTGGGTTTGTGTCTTTTAAAAAAAATGTATTAAGAGACAGGGCCTCACTATATTGCCTAGGCTTGTCTTGAACACCTGGGTTCAAGTGATCTGCCTGCCTCAGTCTCCCAAAGTGCTGGGATAACAGGTATGAGCCACTGTGCCTGGCAGAGGGTTTGTGTCTTTGGAGTTGAGGGTAAGATATCTGTAAAACCTATGTACTAGGCAGCAGTTAGCCAACTGGAAAATGTCTCCCTTGGGCATTCATGGCTGATCATAAGTCGGTTATGCATAGAACTAAAAGACCAATCGATGTGGTTTGACTGTATCTCCACCGGAATCTCATCTTGAATTACAGCTCCCATAATTCCCACCTGTTGTTGGAGGGACCTGGTGGGAGATAATTGAATCACGGGGACGGTTTGCCCCATACTCTCCTCATGGTAGTAAATAAGTCTCATGAGATCTGATGCTTTTATAAGGGGTTTCCCTTTTCGCTCGGCTCTCATTTTTCTCTCTTGCCTGCTGCCGTGTAAGATGTGAGTTTCGCCTTCCGCCATGATTGCAAAGCCTCCCCAGCCGTGTAGAACTGAGAGTCCAGTAAACCTGTTTTTCTTTATAAATTACCCTGTCTTGAGTATGTCTTTATCAGCAGCAGGAAAATGGACTAATATACCAATTAAAGCTTCAGTACGTAAAAAAGGAACAATATTGGCTCACATTATTGAATAGATCTGGGAACAATTTTGTCTGGAGTTGAAACTTTAATGAGGAACTAAATATTCTGTATATTTTTGACTTTCTTATCTTTGTTTTGGTTTCCTTCAGGTACAAATGTCACAATATGGCTGTCAATGCTAAAACCGTAGCCTTATAAAATACTCCAGTCTCTGTGGTAAATATCTTCTGTCTTAAGAAAAAAAAAAAAGGCACATCTACTAAGAGAAAACTACTACTTCTTTCTTGCTACTTGGAACTGTGAATCTTCCTTCTGAACACTTTATTCATCTACTTTCCTTATCTAGGGTAGCAAGGAACAAAAATAAATATAGGGCTGTGAAATCATAGATTTTGTGATTTCCAGGATGAAAAAGCCCCAGGCTGCCAGTCATCCCCTTCCAATAGGGGAGAAGGCCCTCTATTTGTGGGAGACAGCTGTAACCCCATTTCCACATTTCTTATCAGTGCCTGTTGAGGCCTATGCCACAGAGTGTCTGTGTTGCTTGTTGCTTAATCTTGAATGACAATGAATTATAAAATTAGTACAATGAATTATAAAACTAGTTAATGTAAAAGTTTTTCCTAGTCTTTTTCACTGGGTCCAGTCCAGCACTGATAAAGAACTAGGGAAGAATGTCATTTTTAATTCACTCTTGAAAGATACTGCTATAGTTTAAATGTGTCCCTCAAAAGCATGTGTTGGAAACTTAGTTCCCAATGCAACAGTGTTGGAAGGTGGGGCCTAGCAGGAGGTGTTTAGATCATGAGGGGCCCTCCCTCATGAATGGATTAGGGCTGATTATAAAAGGGCTGTAAGCTGTGAGTTCAATCTCTTGGGTTAATGTGTGCTCTCTCTGTCTGTCTGTCTGTCTGTCTGTCTGTCTGTCTCTCCTTTCTTACCCTTCCACGTTCCACCATGGGAAAACACAGCAAGAATACCCTCACCAGATATGGCCTCCTTGATCTTGGACTTCTAGCCTCCAGAATTGTTAAAAATAAACCTCTGTTCTTTATAAATTACTCAGTCACAGGTATTCTAGTTATAGCAACACAAAATGAGGGCAGATGCTGTTTACACATACTTCTTGCTGATAAAAGCAAAGCTAAAACTCAATTTACAAATGGGTTATCTGCCCTTACTGCCATGTGGATATTAACCAGTAAAGTTCCCAGATTTCCTATAGAAAAGCACAGCCAAATGTTCCAAGGTTCATTTTCCTGAATGCCTACTGAATGTCCCTAAGAATGTGCCCATCATCTGGAGGTCTGACTCCTGCTGACCCAAAGTAGCTCCAGGAAGATACCCTCTAATGCAATTATGACAGGTGGGGGATATCAGTGTAAGCTGTGATAGATAAGCTATAATGACTATGGAACCCCAAAATATGTTTAGCTCTTTAAAATTGGTTGTTGATAGCATATTTTATTATCTAAGAGTTGTGGGGGAAAAAAAGTCAGCATTCTCTTTCATCCAGGTGTTGGGAAATAGTTCTGTGGAGCAGGTTTGAATTGACAATAAGTGGGAGTCATGACGTAGTTCACAGATTCTTTATTAATCCCACAAATATGAATTAAAAGCCTACTATGTAACATACAGAATACAAACATATTCCCTGGCTTTAAGCATCATATGAATATTTTAAGGTCTTTTGGTTTACTTAAATGTTTTCTGGTTTTGAATCTTTCTGAAATTCAGTGAGGACTAATATTACCAGAGAAGGAGACTTGCCTGTCTACAGATGAAGCCACTGCTATTTACAAAGGAAAGTGGCTAATGTTCAGTCAGAAACAATTGCCAACACTCATTAGCATCAGAGGACCAGGGCAAATCTTGGAAAATGAGAGCAGATCAAGTGAGGCTCATCAAACACAGGGGTCCTTGGGAGGATTGTGGATGTAGGGACTGAGATTTTAGTCTAAATCTATAATTCTGAATTGCCACCAGAAAATCAAAGGCACATGTCTGAGAGTTAACTGAGGTAGGGTTGTTACATAATTTAGGATTTTCCTTAAATATCTTAAGAATTTATTAAGAAACATTTAAAATAAAGTAGTCTGTCTGTTAGAGGAAAAGTTAATCATTTTACTAAAGTTGATAATTTCAGATTTTCTAAAATGTTCCCTGTTGAAAGAAAAATAGTATCATGGACTGTTTAAGAAAAACTATTGGCTACCATGGCTGGCTTGTTGACCCTGATTAAGTGATGAGAGTCTGATATTAAATTTGTTTTTTAAAATTATGGGAAGTCAGATTGTGTCCAAAATGTACACAAGACTTTGAATAATAAAGAAAATGTTTAGAACTTTTGTCAGTGGTCAGGGTGAAAAATTTCCTTACTGAATCCAAGTAGAAGATATATTAACTACTGTATTTTTGAGTACCTGTGTTAGACATTTATTTCCTGTTCTCAAGGAATTCATATTTTCCTGAGAAAGACTGACCTTATTCACTCATCACCAAGTACCAAACACCAGTGTCAGACACTAAACTTAGTTCTTTTGGGACTTCGCTAGTCCCAAAAGCTGTAAAGGAAGAAGTACAACAGGATTCTTGGAAGAGTGACAATCTGGGTGGGTTATGATGAAAATGATTGATTCAGTCCCTGCCCTTACATAAGTTGTACTCTATTGTTGGGAAGTGGAAAGGAGTGTTGTTTAATCAAAGAATCCTACAGTACAAATACAACTGGGATAACTGGTGTCAATAAATTCTTATTGTTCTAAAGAGAGTATACTAGGGGGATTTTATCTTGTCAGTAAGAGTGGGAAGTGATTTCTGGGGACATGATATTTAGCTGATATCTGAAGGATGCTTAAGATTTAATTAGAAAAAAGTAAAGAGGGAACTATAAAGCAAAATGTGTAGAAGTAGCTAAAGAGGCCCTGCAAAGAAAGGAATCATAGCTCCTTGCTGAAGGTGAAAGACGGTGTGGATGGACTACAGATGTTATGTGAAATAAGGATCTAAGTGAGGGATCTCAGACTACTTGGCTTAGAGGGCACCTAATGATTTTGGACACCGCCTTAGGGCCTCTGGAAGCTACTAAAGTGTTAAAAACAGGGTGTGAGACGTATAAATTATCATTCCATTAAGATTGTTCTGGTGGCCATATGTGAGGAACAGAATGGTAAGGAACACAAGTAATTATGAGCAGAGCTATCAGGCAGCTCTTGCAGTTGCTCAGGAGAGAAACAGCCATCATCCAGAGCAGCGATGGTGGAGGTGGGACCCTGCAGGTAGACTAGAGAGATATTTAGAAGCTATAATCACTAAGACTTGGTGAAGTATTGGATAAAGGCAGTGAAGTACAGGAAGGTCTTAGGATAATTCCTTGGTATTTGGTATTTGTAACTGTACTCTTTTTGATCAATTTCACAAAGAAAGGAAGCAAAGAAAATGATTCAGTTTTGCTACCATAATGATATGCACATGTTGCCAAAGACATTAACTGAAGTGGTCAAAAGGTAACACAAGTGTTGGAGAGCTACCATTGAGGTTTCTCATACATACACATACACACACACAAATATGTTCCTGGAGAACTGTGATGAAATTGCCAGCATCAGGGCCAGTCAACTATGATCCTCTGTATGAGTTTTGAGATCTTTGATTGTAAATAACAGAAATCAACTCTGAGTGAATTACATAAAAGGAAATTTATTGGAAAAATAATGGAGGATTGCAGAATTCATGGAATGCTGGGCATGAGCATAGGTCTTAGAAACAGGCAGGGGCCAGGCATTGTGGCTCATGCCTGTAATCCCAGCACTTTGGAAGCCCGAGGCAGGCAGATCACGTGAGGCCGGGAGTTCGAGACTAGCCTGGCCAACATGGTGAAACCCCGTCTCTGCTAAAAATACAAAAATTAGCCAAGTGTGGTGGTGCACATCTGTCATCTCAGCTACTCGGGAGAATGAGGATGAGAATCACTTGAACCTGGGGGCGGAGGTTGCAGTGAGCTGAGATCACACCACTGCACTCCAGCATGGGCGACAGAGCAAGACCCCGTCTCAAACAAAAAACGAAAACAAACAAAAAACAACAACAAGAAACAAGCAGGTCAGGTAGTCCCAAAAGCTAGAAAGCAAAAAACACAAGAGTCTTGGAAGAGTAAAAATCGGAGTGGGTTACAGCTGCTAGAATGAAATTCCAGTCATTTCTGGTCTCTTTATCCTTCTGCTCAAGAGGAAGCATCTGACTGGCCTAACTCAGGTCGCATGTCATCATCCCTTAAATATGGAAGCAGGAAACCTTACTGGAGGAGATTATTCCTCGAAACGATATTAGGATCCTATCAGAAAGGGAAATTAAATTTGAAAAACCTCAAACAAATCTCTGCTACATCTCAGAAGGCACTTAACTTACTCTCTTTTAAGTCTTCACTGAAGCAATGCAGAAATGCAGCAAACTTTCTGACATTTGTTTGCTTACAAATGTGAAAAAGAAAGCATCTTCTCTGAGTTGGCAGTAACTGTGACAGTGAAAAAATAATTGAGCTTGCCCTTTTCTGCATTCTCCTTTCCTTCCTCTTCACCTCACACATTCAGGGTTGACCAAGTGGCCAGATCTATTCATCTTGGTTATTGCAAATACTGAATATATCACATTACAGGGGGATGTTAGGTTAGTGGGTGAGGGTGGGGGTGTGAAGAGGGAGAACCTTCCTTTAGTACACAAATACAAGCTTGTTAAAAATTCAAACAAACTTTAATAAAAGAACTTTTACACAGATTAGTTATAAGTCAAAATGAATTCTAAAAGGATTTCATTATGATTCAGAAAGGAAAAAAATATATTTTTTGTATGCTGCAGTTTTCTCTCCACAAAATAAGCATTTTCTTACAATTCGGTATGTAACTCTTCTATAGTTACATTCTTTAAACAGAAGATGTTCATATCACTGTTGATTTACATATATTTCACAATACTTCCCCACCCCCTACAAAGACAATTCAAAGATATTCACCAGAACGTTTACAGTTGCATATGGAATAATGTTTGTAAGAGTTTTGCTTGCGCCCATCACTTTCCTGTCAGTACAATTCTCCTCACTCTTCTGAGGAAAACACGTCTCCCTTTCTGAACACAATTTTGGTTCCCAACTGTGTTAAGTAATTTATCTCCAGTTGTTGTCCCAAATCCTGCATCAAATTACCTAAGTTGTCAGTCAGGTTTCCACATATTGATTCAGCAATCTCAGCCGTGTGTCCTGACCAGCTCTAGCAGAGAGTTGATTGCTTTACTCCAAAATCCTTTGAAAAGTTAAATTGTTAACAATACAAATTCACCGGAAATTGGGATAACTCTTTGCCTCAGCTTCAATCTCTTCACCTTGAGCCCTGGGCAGTTAGAACTCATCTCTGGGCGGCAGGGTGGGGAATTGGAAAGGTGAGTGGTAATGCAGTTATTGCCAGGAGCCAAAGGAATAGTTAGATGTGTACTTAATTCTGGCAGTAGGTGCTCAGGCGCCCACCTGCTTCCCAAAGCAAACAAGCACTGATAAGGATGGCCAATTAAATATAATCTGCATTCCAGGGTCCCTGCATATTCCTGGCCAAATAACCAGAGAGAGACATAAATAAATTGGCTGAAAGGGCAAGGGATCTATTTACTTTAACCTAAAACTTTGCTTAGATTCAGCTCTTGACTAAGGAGAAATATTTTCTTTTCTTTTTTCTTTTTTTTTCTTTCTTTTCCTTTTTTTTTTTTTTTTTTTTTGAGACAGGGTCTTTTGTTACCCAGGCTGGAGTGTAGTGGTGTGATCATAACTCACTATAGCCTCAACCTCCTGGGCTCCAGTGATCCTTCTGCCTCAGCCTCCCTGAGTAGCTGAGACCACAGGTGTGCACCACCATGCCCAGCTTATTTTTGTTATTTTGTGGAGAGACAGGGGTCTCACTATGTTGCTTAGGCTGGTCTTGAACTCCTGGCCTCAAGCAATCCTCCCACCTCTATCCCCCAAAATGCTCAGATTACAGAGACACATTTTCCTATAATACCAATTAGAAACTTTATTCTGTGGTTTATTTCCATAATAGCTAATGAAAACCATACCTGATTGCAAATATCATACCTTTATAAGAAGGCACTAAAGCCTTAAATAGCCTTGAGTGCTTTCTACTTAATGTTCAATTTGTAGCTAATATACTTTAGGAGTTAAGTGCTAGTGTTTAACCTGTTAAGAGATTGTTAACTTGGGTGTTTAACAATGAGCTGTTTTGAAGAACATTACAAGTGAGCAGGTGTTTAAGAGAGCGGATCATAATTTAAAGTACTTGACTGAAAAATAGGAATCTTTAAAAATTACATTTATGTATTAAAGTCTTTGGTAAAATTTCTTTATGAAAAAAAGAAATGACCTAGCAAGGCAGCATAGTGCATTGCATTGCTGTTCTTCATACTATTAGAATGCTGAATCTTGAAGTTGCAAGGGAACTTAGTTTATTTATTGCATCTTTCCATCCATCTTTTTTAAGAAAGTGTTTTCCCTTATTTTATGCTCAGCAAACTTTCCCATTTCTCCGTCCTGTTTTTATAACAAAAATCCAAAAAAGAGATGTTTACAGATACATTAATTTATCTTTTCTTTTCTGCTCCAGTTAATATGTTAACCCCATTATACCATAAAAAATGCTCTGTGAAGGCCACCAATGGCCTCTACATTGCAAAATCCAATTACCTGTTGTAATTCTCATCTTAGTTTACATCTCACAGGATTTTACATAATTGACTAGTCCTTCCTTTATAAGCATTTCGTTCACTTGGCTTATGACGTACGTTCTCTATTGGTTCATCCTTTCTTCGTTGGCTACTCATCCTCAGTTTCACGTGATTTCGGTTCACTGCAACCTCCACCTCCCGGGTTCAAGTGATTTTCCTGCCTCAGCCTCCCTAGTAGCCAGGATTGCAGGTGCCTGCCACCACGCCCAGCTAATTTTTGTATTTTTAGTAGAGAGACGGGGTTTCACCATGTTGGCCAGGGTGGTCTCAAACTCCTGACCTCAGGTGATCTGCCCGCCTTGGCCTCCCAAAGTGCTAGGATTACAGGCATGAGCCACTGTGCCCGGCCTCCCTGATGTTTTAATGATGAAAAACCATAGATTTCTTCTCTTTTCATTCTATGCTCACCCCCTTTGCAATATTGTTCTATTTTATGGCTTCATTTGTTGAACCTCAATAAGATATTTAGAGATGATGATTATAAATAATAATTGGATGATTTATAAACAGATACTGTATCTCAGTCAATTCTTATGCATTATCTACTTTATAAATATGAACTTTTTTCCACTTAGCTCAAATACAACAGAGAATCCATATATTTTGCTGATTTTCAGACTAGGAATGAGCAGTATATTAAGCCTGAACTAAAGACATAGAAATACACCAAAGGACAATTGAAATGGAAGATTAAAAGGCAATATTTTTGTTTTAGCACTCAAAAGAATTGGATTTTTGTAGATGCCAAAAATTCTGTTTCTTAGATATGTAAGAAATCATCTCAAATATATTTCCTTATCAAATATTTCATTAAGTTTAATCTATAGACAACAAAGCAAATACTTTCTAATTGCATTTTAATCCCTGAACTATAGTTTTCTTTGTGAGCTATTGGAGTTGTAGCTTGGCATCATCAGAAAAATGCATTGGAGTTTGGGATTCAATATGTGTACTGAACACCCATTAAAGCAAAAGAGAGGAGACTGGTTTGGACAAAGAAAACAGTGGAACGGACTTGACAAAGCTTCCAGCAATTCAGCAGATGGCTCTGGAACAAATTTGTTAGAGTGTTTTACATGAGGCTGAACTGTCTAAACTTTACACCCCCTCCTCCTTCAGTAACTGCATGTGGGCTGCCCTGGGAAGAGTGTGATCCAGACTAGGCTGCTCTTTACAGTTGAGACAAACCTTGAAGAGACTGACAGTTGGATAGTGTGCTGAGCACACTCTTCACAGAAGATCTTTCATTTAAGAATGATCTGAGTGGCACATCTTCGCATCTACTATAGCATAACCCTTTTCTCACTAGGTTCTGCCTCAACTCTCTTTGGATAGCTGCTCCATTTCACATGTCAGAAACCAAGGTTTTCCTAATTGGAGCTCTGATGTGGCAAAACTGACTCGGCTTGGTTGGGCACTTAACCTTGCTTGTTTTGGGGCATTTAACCACTTGGTCTATTAGGTCCTATACCTGGTTTTGGACATTTATGTTGATGGCATATTTTTGCTATTGTGAATAGTGCTGTGATAAATACACAGGTATCTGTTTGATATGCAGATTTCTTTTCCTTTGGACAAATATTCAGTAGTGGGATTGCTGGATCATATGGTAGCTCTGTTTTAAGATTTTTGAGAAGTCTTCATACTGTTTTCCATACTGGTTGACTTATGTACCTACCTACCATCAATGCACTAATTCCCTTTTCTACATATTCTTACCAGTATGTTATTTTTTTTTTGTTTCAAGAAATTTTTATTTCCATCTTAATTTCTTTATTGACCCAGTGGTCATTCAAGAGCATGTTGTTTAATTTCCATGAATTTGTACAGTTTTCAAAGTTCTACTTTGTATTGATTTCTAGTTTTTTTAATTGTCATCTGAGAAGATACTTGATATGATTTTAATTTTTGAAAATTTGTTGAGACTTGTTTTGTAGCCTAAAATATAGTCTATCCTGGGGAATGTTCCATGTGCTGATGAGAAAAATGTGTATTCTTCAGCCTTGTATAAAATGTTCTGTAAATATCGATTAGGTCCCTTTGGTCTAAAGTCCAGTTTTAAACCTGTGTCTCTTTGTTGATTTTTTGACTAGATGATCTTTCTAAGGTTTAGAGTGGAGTGTTGAAGTTCTCTGCTATTATTGGTTTATTGGATTCTCTCTTTAGATGCAGTAATATTTGCTTTATAAATCTGAGTGCTCCAGGGTTGAGTGCATATATATTTAGATTTGTTATATCCTCTTGCTGAATTTATCCCTTTATCATTATATAATGATCTTCTTTGTCTTTTTAAATTGTTTTTTACATACAGTCTGTTTTATCTAATTTAAATATAGCTACTCCTGCTTGCTTTTGGTTTCCATTTGCATGGAATATATTTTTCCATCCCTTTACTTGATCTCTAAGTGTCTTCATAGTAAAGTACATTTCTTGTATGCAGCATATAGTTGGATCTTTTTTTAAAAAAAATTCTATTCAGCCAGTCTATATATTTTGAGTAAATAATTTAGTTTGTTTATATTAAAAATTATTATTGATATGTGAGGTTATGTTCCTGTCATATTGCTAATGGTTTTCTGGGTGTTTTGTATATTCTTTGTTCTTTTTTCTAAAGTTTATGATTTGTTATTATAGTGTGATGGTTTTACATAGTGGTGCCACTAGAATTCTTTCTCTTTCTCATTTGTGTGTTTGATTTACCAGTGAGTTTTATAGTTTTTTGTGTTTTCATGATGGTAATGTCACACTTTAGCTTCCAGGTTTAGGACTCCTTTGAGCATTTCTTGTAGGGCTAGTCTAGTGATAATGTATCTTCTCAGTTTTTGCTTGTCTGGCAAGGATGTAATTTCTTCTTCATTATAAAGAATAATTTTGCTGTATGTAGTGTCTTCGTGTGGCAATTCTTTTTTCTTTCATTACTTTCATTATGCCATCCTATTATCTCCTGTAAGGCCTGTAAGGTTTCTTCTGAGAAACCAATTGTTGGTCCAATGGCAGTTCCTTTGTAGATGACTAGATACTTACCTCTTTCTGTTTTTCAGAATCTTATCTTTGTCTTTGACTTTAAACAGTTTGACTATAATGTACCATGGAGAAGATCTTTTTTGCACTGTACCTACTTAGGGGTCCCCAAGCCTCCTGTGTCTGAATGCCAAATTCTTTTGCGAGACTCAGGAAGTTTTTGTTGATTATTTCATTAAATAGGTCTTATAATCCTTTCATTCTCTCTTTGACTTAAAGGACACTGATACTTGGAATATTTTGTCACTTTATGTTGTCCCAAATGTCACTAAGGCTTTGCTCATTCTCTTTCATTTGTTTTTTTCTTTATTTTTAATCTCAATGTGTTATCTCAAATGACCTACTTTCAAATTCTGAGGTTCTTTCTTCTGCTTGATACCCTCTATTGTTAAATGTTTAAAATGAATTTTTCATTTCATTCCATGAATTCTTCAGTTCCAGAATTCCTGTGGGTGTTTTCTTTTTTAATTTAAATTTATTTCTTTGATAAAATCTCTTTCCTACCCTGGGTGGTTTTTCTGATTTTTTTGTATTATGTTTCAGAATTATTTTATATCTTGCAGTCCTTTTTAAAAATGAGTATTTTGAATTCTCTATCTGGGATTTTGCAAATATTTTTAATTGGGATCTGTTGCTGAAGAATTATTGTTCCTTTAGAGATGTCATATTTTCTTGCACTTTCATGTTTCCTGTGTCCTTATATTTATATCTGCACATCTGATGTAACAATCACTTCTTCCAATTTTTAAAATATTCTATCTAGGGAGGACTTTTTCCTGAAGATATATCTATGATGTTGATTGGATAGTGCACTTTGGGTTTAGTTTTGGCTGTATGCAGTGGTATATTCTCTTTTCTATCTGTAAACAGCATCAGTGGTATCTGCTATTTCTTTGGTAGCTTAGAGTGCAGTTATTAGTGGAGGCTGAGAGGAAGTTTTGCTGGGGACTGGAATTCCAGATGGCCTAGTCTTTGGGCCCCTGTGGTGGCAGTGGTGAGCTCAGCATGCCTGTCTTTCAGCCCCAAGCATGAAGGACAGGATCCTTTACTGGATCCAGTGCTAACAGGTCCAGGTGAACCAATTCTTGTGCCTCCAGGTGGCTTGCTTAAATACTAGTAGTGGCAGCAGTGGGCTGGGCATGTGGGTGGGTGATCTTGGGCTCCTGGGCAATGTACATAATGTGGGTGATGGCAGTACCAGTGGTGGTGCAACCCACTGGAACCCAAGCTGTCCGAGCTGGTGTTGGAGTGGCTGTATCAGGTTGGGGGACAAGTCCCGTGGCCTGCTGGTGGCACATCTAAGCGGGTGCCAGCTTTGGTGGTATCCACAAGTTGCATTGGCCCAACCTTATACTCTGGGAAAGTTGCTCAAGTGCCAGTGGTTGTGGGCTGGTCTGGGCTATTTCCAGGCCCATAGGTGTCATGCTCATGTACTAGGCAGATGGGACCAGGCCAATGGACTTATCGTCAGGCCCCTTGGTAGTTCATTCAGGTGCTGATTGTTTAGGCAGGGGCAGGTTGTCCTTAGGCTGCTGGTTGAGTGCTCAGGTAGGGAGAGTGGCAGCTGCTCTGAAGGCCTGCCACTGGTGAGGGCAGGGTCATTCTCAGTGGAAGCAGCACAGACAGGCAGCTGTGGGGGCACATACCCTGCCCATGACTCACTGGCACAGCAACCCATAGCACCAGTGGTGATACTTGTCCTCAGGGTACACGAGCATGCTCAGCCTCCCTTCTCCATCCTGGCCCAGTGTAGGCAGCAGTGGCGGCAGCAGTAGCATTGGCTCTTGGGCAGGACACAATATATTTGGGGGCTGGGATCTTGGCAGGCAGCTGTACCATCCAACTTTTATGTTTTGTTGGTCAATACAGGTATGTCTATAGATACAAATGGATCTTCGATTTTTAATATGTCTTTTCAATGTTTGGAAATTCTGCTCATCCTTACTATTTTAATCAAATGCTCAGGTTTTTCTGAAACTTCTTCAGTCTCCTAAATTAATCCAATCTCTTATTTATGTTTTCACAGCATTACATTTTCTTCTTATGCCATACTTGTAATAAGATCATGAGTCTAATAGCGACAATTCTTATGATAAACTTCTGTAAATGTTTTGCTCACCAGAAAGAAGTGTTTCCTCTCCTTGAAACCTGTCTATAATAAGACCTAAAGTATGTGGCTTTATAATCCCTGGAAGAAACGTAATAATAATATAGCATGTGGTATGTATCTGCTAACTGAAAACATAATCAAAAAGCTCTTCTTTTTGTCTAGAGAAGGAGGGGAATTACAGAATACATGAGAGAGAGAGAGAGAGAGATAAGACTGTTTTATTGAAGAAAAGCAAAAAAGGGAAGAAATGATTTTGTTCTACTTTCTATTTGGAACTCAAAAATGAAAATTCAACATGATGTGGATATATCTGAGTAGAAATAGACATGTGTTCTACTTAAGCAAGGAGAGAGAAAGAGACAGAAAGTGAGAGCAAGAGAAAGAGAGACAGAGAAAGTAAGAGTAAAAAAAGTGCTAGAGCTAGTGGTGGTTTTGGTGCATGTGGAAAGGGTAGATAGATCTTATTTCATGGTTTTGGCAGGATGCAAGTGGCTGATACTGCTGGCTGATAAGCTTGCCATGGAGGGAAATGAAAGGGGAGGCTTGATCTGGTGGGGCAAAGTACACACATGGCCAAGGTCATGAGAACACAGAGAGAACCCAAATGGCAGCAAGAATCAAAGTAGTAATGAAATAGCAAAGGAGAAATCAGTTTGCTGAACCTTCAGCAAGTGAAGCCAGAATCCATTGGACACAATGCGGTTCAGAGAGTGTCCGCATCACTAGAGTCCTTTAGATTCAGCAATACAGCCCATGTCTCTAAACAGGCATTGGTTTCTTGTGGGGGTTGTGGGGGATGAGGTGGGAAAGGTGCAACCAGGAGAAACAGCAATGATGGGGGTTAATCTTTGAATTAATTGCGTAATGAATAAATTTAAATGACAATGTCAAATAAACCTGGAGAACGAGGCTCATCACTGCTATGCACCAAGAAGAAAATATAAGGCAGGATTAGATCAAATGTGAAAATAAATGTCTTTCATTTCTTGCCATACATGAAAGGAAGGCTAAAAATTGCAACGATTTATTCATACATCCTCAGAGAATTTGGGGCTCATCTGGGTTATAACTGACCCCTCCTTTTTTTTTTTGACAGAGTTTGGCTCTTGTTGCCCAGGCTGGAGTGCAATGGCACAATCTTGGCTCACCGCGACCTCCGCCTCCTGGGTTCAAGCAATTCTCCTGCCTCAGCCTCCTGAGTAGCTGGGATTTCAGGCATGTGCCACCATGACCAAATAATTTTGTATTTTTGGCAGAGACGGGTTTCTCCATGTTGGTCAGGCTGGTCTCGAACTCCTGACCTCAGGTTATCCCCTCGCCTCAGCCTCCCAAAGTGCTGGGATTACAGGCATGAATCACTGCGCCTGGCCCTGTCCTCATCTTTTTAATCCCTAGGCCTAGCATTTATAGGTCCTTAATTAATAACTGTGCCTTTAGAGAGTGGAACCTTGTTTTATTTTTCTGTGTTCCTTACAGAACTGAGTTTTGCAAACAGAGGTCATTTAGAATGCTTTTTACATTTAACAATATAATTTCATAGTCATCTATAATTTCCTGTTCTGCGTGCATGTGGAACCACCATTTATGGAAAAAGTGTACTCAAAGCATTCTGACTACTTTTGAAATTAAATTTATCTGTCCTCTCTCATTTCCATGTATTATAAAGTGTGTTACTACTTTCCATTTCACCTAGGTTTTAATTATCATTAGGTTTTAATTTTAATAGTGAATTTTGTGGTGCTAATTGATTTTTTCCTTGCTTATATACTTAAAAATATGTCTCTAAAACTGCTGAGAAAGAAAATTGGCCTAATAAGAAGTATTTATTGCTAATTCACTTTATACTTAATATTTCTTTACCAGATTTTTAAATATGAATGACACCATTTACTGGAACAGAAAATTTCACAGGGTTTTTACATTAATTCTTCCTCTAATTCTTGCCAATTTGCTGCAACAATGTAATTGCATTGCCTACATTATGGTTAACAGGAAAGATTAGGTATGTAGCATTTTATTGTCTTTGACAGCTTGATGAATTGTGACTTGAAGAGAGCAAGTGCCTTTGTTCTAATTGTCTCTTTTTCATTAAAGCTGAGAACTATACTTCGGCATTGAGAGACTACTCTTCCTCACTGCTTTTAAGTTAGAGCGGTTCACGCTGATGAATGTTCTCCACCTAAATTGTGGAGGCGGCTCTTTGTTTATGTTTTACCCTTTTCATCATTTCAAGGCTAAAATTGATGAAGATCAATCAATACTAGAGACTGAAAAAGATTCTGAAGTAAAGTAATTTCAGGAAACAGAATGCCTTCTCCTACTTACCAGAGAAGTTGATGAATAAGATAAAAGAATCCTCATGCCATTTTTGCCATGTATCCTATATAGTGTTTTTGTGTAGGGTAAATCTGTGGTTGATGAATTCAGTGGTCCAGCCTAATTAATCTAGGGTAACACCACAACTTTCATCTCTTCTAGTACATATTTACATTTCTCTTTTCAGAGCTGTAAGTTATTTCCAAGTGGTCGTTTCATGGTCATTTATCCACTCATTTATTTATAATTAATTAATTTCAATCATTTGGTACATTTTCACTGAGGATCAACTTTGAGCCAGGCTCTGTCTTATAGGTAGTGTGGACAATAAAAATGAATGTAACATATCCATGTCCTAAAGGGGTTACATTCTGCTCGTTGGGTGATCATATGAGAGACTTAGACCCCCAACTGTGAAAACTGTTTTTTTGGCTTCAAATAACAATATAGTAACAGTTTGTGAGTGGGAAGGCAGCTCCATTTGGAAATGGTTGGAAGAAATTTGTTGGATGTGTTTACTGTACAGCACAATTCTAGTGATTGCCTTTCATATGTCCACAAGTACATGAAGTCCCCACCAGTGAGGAATTGGGAAGAAACATGTTTGAGCTTTTTAAATCTTCTTTGCTAGGTTAAGGGGTTTGGTGTTGACTTTATTCTGAAGTTGAGAAGAGCCACTAAAACTTTTACAGAAATGGATGATGGGATTATTTCCAAGGTTTAAAAAGCTAAATGGCAGCACTGAGAGTCAGTTGAGGAGAAAGACAAGTTATTAAATGTTCAATTTTTGATAAGGTAAAACTAAATGTTTTTAATACATTTATGGTAAAAAAAAAATGACTACAGTGTCCACTGATTTAACTGGTAATGATGAGTGCCATAAAAAAGAGGGTGGCAGTTGGCATGTCTTACTCCCTTTCTGCTTGACTTCATGTGCCCATCTGCTAATTTTGTTTTCCCAGTAATTCTGGCTACTCCATCCAAATGCCCCTTTGACTTGTGCTTGACTCCTGGCTGGCCTCAGAGGAAAGCATCAGTTTCTATTACTTGGTAGCATTGTAGAAAATGTGTGAGACTCAGTTAATTGAGGACTTTGTCAGCATAAAGCAGATGAATCAGTTCCAGTGTGTTTCAAAGAGGTTTTCAAGTCAAGGACATTCCAGTCAAAGGAAATGCAGCTGTTGGGTGGTGAATCATTACATCCCTGGGAAGAGAAACTACTTTGATGCCAGCATCTTTAAACACCTGCCATTGATGAAGTTTGCAATGGCTGGTGGAAGAATGTAGGGGCCTGAATCAGGAAGAGGTCATGTTGATATTTGGGTCCCTTGCTTGACTCACATTGCATTGTCTATCCAAAGAAGGTAATTTTTGGATCCCCGTTCCTTAGTTTCTTTTTTCTTTACTCATTTTATTTCCTACGCTTAGTGTCACTGGCTCCGTCTATAGTGTCTGTCTGAATAATAGATGTTTATTTGAATAGTTTAGAGCTGGAGCTAGTCTCCTTTCATTCATAGCTCCCCAAGTTGATGATTGTTAGGTCCAGGAAGGACACCTGGTGACCAAGAAGTCCTTAACATTTCCCTCAGCTTAATTTTAGACAAGCTTCTTCTTAACTCTAGGCCCCCACCTCCCTTTTCTTAGAGCATTTACTTTAGAAAATTGTAATTGTAATTTCGTTTTCTTCTCCTTTCAGATCTAAATCTTTTTAAAGCTTCTTGCCATTTTTACAACCCAGGAATATCTTTCTCAAGGACCTGGGAGCCACCCCTTTGAAATGTAATCATCAAAAAAGAAAATAGAACTGCTTCTATTTCCCACTCTCTCTGGGAAAGCTGAATCCTAACTTAAGCAGAAAATACCTTGCTCCAAGTTGTAAAACTATTACCTCTTATGAAGATACAAGAAAGTTTACTTTTTCTTTAATTGGGTAAAGCCAATTAAACACAAATGGCCTGCAATTCTCCCACCTCCTCTCTCTCCCTGCCATCAAGTTTTCCCCCAGAAACTTTTATCTTACATTTGCAGTGGTGGGTCAATGACTCTTTTGCATAATAACAGGCAACCATGAAGGAACATGAGACTCTATTTTGGGCTTTATGTTCTTGGAATCAGCAGAGTTCAACTATATTCCTTCTCTGGGACAGAAAAGTGGAAGGGCTGATGACTTAATATTCTGTAGACTCAGATTGGATGAGTTAACCATAATGTGTGCCAAGTATGAAAGGCAGTAGGTTCTTTGTAGTGTCTGTTTAGATCTATGCAGTGATTGGGAGGTGGCAGCAAAATCCACAATCTGAAATCTCAGAGTGAGGATTTCCCGGGAAAGATACAACACAACATAATGACGCTGCTGTAGGTAACTAGCAGGAAGAAGGCAGGGTCCAGGAGCGTTGAGATGCTAGCGAAGGGTGGTAGGCTGGGAGTGGGAAGAATCCCATTCATTGCAAATTGATTAAAGACGGATGGCTGATACAATTATAGAGAGGAGCTACACTGAGGGCAGTGGCTGAGGATGAGGGGAACTAAAAGATATTTTTAAATGTTACAAAAACTAGCAACACTCTGGTGGAGGGAAGGTCGAGACTTTTTATAGAGAATGAAAATACTAGGTATAAGCCAAGAACAGAAGCTGCTCAGAAATGCATCCAGATTGATTGACATGAATGCCTGGAAAGTATTTGGCTGCCTCTTCCGTGAAAAATGCAGACAACTCAATGAATTGAAGTGAAAACCTGAACTGTTTGATTTAAGGAAATTTTGATTAAATCACATTTCATTTGGCTACTGATCATTTTCTTGGAGGAGGATCCTGGAAAGGGAAGGGGCTCTGAACTGTGCTTGTTCTTCTCTGTTATCCTGCATTTTGATTCATATGAATGTTCTGAGTGAGTGGGTGCATGGACCTACTGATCAGATGTATTCATTGTGACTGTTGTTGGTGGCTTCTTTAGTAGCTGAATGCATGGCTCAGAACTGCTTAATAGCTTAAAAGGTGTCAATGGTTGTAACGCTGAAACAATGTCACCTCTGACAAGATGTTTAAAAAAAAAAAAGGTACTCTCCTCATCCAAGCATCATTGGAGGCAAGGGTGCTATAAAAACAACCTCGTATTCTGGCCAGTGAAAGTCATTAAAAGTCACTGGTACTTGGAGATTCACTGTGGACTATTGAGGCTTACAAACAAGAAACTGTTGTTGTAATGCAGCATCTCATTACAATGACTGAATAAATAGCCATCTCCAATGATATTTTATATATAACCTTGGGTATTGCTAATGCTGTCTTTTCCATACCCCTTTAATAAAACATCCACATCGGTTTCTCTTTACTTGACAAGCAACACAATATGTTTTTTTTGTCCAAGCTTCCCTGGCAAGTGAAGCTGGACAAATCTGAATACATTGTGGACTAATAGATGAGGTCTAAACATTCCAGGATATGGATATTATTTTGATAGTTGTCGCCAATGAAAAAGAAAAACCTCTTCTCATTGCATGACATAGCATCTAAGCCCAAGTGACTAAATATGAATAGGACCTTAAATGTGGATAGACTCAGACTGGCACACTTGGGAGCTAACTAGACTTCAATCCTTAGAGACAATTCAGTCTATTAAGTTAAATTTGATGGCCTTTCTGTCTCCCCCTGGAAAGAAGGAGGCCCATCAATTGTTTGACCTCTTTTGATATCGGAGAAAATGAATTCTATACTTGTGCATGTTACTACAATCTCTATCCCAAGGCTGCAGGTTACTGTCCAAACTTGATGGGCAGGCCACAACCTTGAAAAGCCTCCTTAATCAGTAAGACAAACCCTATTCTTGGGCTATCAATTACTTCAGGGCCCAAATTCCTTATTCCTGAGACCAATCTCATAGCTATTTAGAGCCTTACCAAAAACAAACAAACAAACAAACAAACACAAACAATAATAACCTCCACCAGTGTTCAGTGGCTTCTGGGTTTTTGGATTTGAGAACTTTATTCCGATGTTTATCAACGGCTGTTAGCCTGTGATTGGGCCCTATTGAAGGCAAATCATTTTCACTAAAGGAAGATTTGTGACTTTTTCCTGCAAAGCATTCTTACCAAACCAAAAACTATGTAAGAATTTTAAGGTAAGTTAAGCCCAAAAATAATCTATTGAAAAATGGACATGATACAACCAATCAACAGCTAGGCTTGGTTTCTGAGTCTTAATTAGCTTTATGAACGGGCAGCTCCCTACTCATTTCTCATAAATTGGCCCACATACACCTTTACCCAAATTTGAAATATTGTTCACTGAAACCCTTAGTACAGTAGGAGTTTTGCCAATAAGATTTTCCACCTTAGAAAAGGCATGAGTCACTGATTAAAAAAAAAGAAATAACTTTTCTCCAAGGTGGATAAATCCCATGCAATGCCACCACAATCTGCCATACATAGTGATGGTAAATTGTTGATAACTCACAGCATTGGTGGTTCTACACAATGAACTTAACTTTTGTCATCTTGATCATGGAGTAGCCCATCTGAAATTGACTGAAATAAAAATCTATATAGATGCATGGTACATTATTATACTTGACTGAAATAAAAATCTATATAGATACATGGTATAGTTATTATAGACATGGTACATTAATATATGGTCTGGCTTTGAGTCACTCATGACTAGACTATTAAAGGCAAGAAAGTGCTGCCTTTAGCAGCTACCTCTCATTGAAACAACTCAATCATGAACTCAGTCTTAGTGTTACATGTATACCTGTCCATGTGATGTGACCACATTTAAAAGAAATAATTTGGGCATGGTGTGGTGGCTCATGCCTGTACTCCCAGCACTTTGGGAGGCTGAGGCGGGTGGATCACAAGGTAAGGAGTTCAAGACCAGCCTGGCCAAGATGGTGAAACCCCGTCTTTACTAAAAATAGAAAAATTAACTGGGCATTGTGGCGGGCACCTGTAGTCACAGCTACTCAGGAGGCTGATGCAGAGAATTGCAGTTTGTGCTGAAAAATCCAAACAGACATATGTGGCCATCGTCTCTACTCCTGCTTGTTGTACCCAGGTTTGCACTCATCATAGTAATAAAGCCACCATATTTGACTAGGATGACCAATGGAAAATATCTTGACATTAATAGAATCCTGTATTTTCCACCCATTCTAGCCTCTCCATTAATAACATCTAAAAGGTTAGCTGAACTGGCTGCCTCCTGCTCTGTAAAAGTTGTATACTGCCCTATCTCCTCTATCTTAGCTGAGCAACAGTATATCCAGGAGTCATAGGGTAATAAGCCAGGAGAGTTTGAGCAGTTTGGCCATCTTTAATATTTTTAAAATTTATGTTTGCTTTTACAACGGTACATGGATGTATGGTTTATGACTTTGGAGGGTGGATGGGTAGTGTATGACCTTGGTGGGTGGATGGGTGGTTTATGATCCTTGGTAAGTGGATGGGTGGTGTATCATCTTGGTGGGTGGTTGGGCAGCGTATGACCTGGGTGGGTGGATGGGTGGTTTATGGTCCTTAGTAAGTGGATGGGAGGTGTATGACCTTGGTGGGTGGATGGGTGGTTTATGACCCTTGGTAAGTGGATGGGTGGTGTATCGTCTTGGTGGGTGGATGGGCAGTATATGACCTTGGTGGGTGGATGGGCAGCGTATGACCTGGGTGGGTGGATGGGCAGCGTATGACCTGGGTGGGTGGATGGGTGGTGTATGTCGCTCGGTCTGGGGATGCCTGAAGAGACATGAATCTAGATAGTGACATTGCCTCTTATGGTTCTACAACTATTTTTTTTTACCCCCAGAAGTTGTTTTTAATAAGAATGATTCCTGAGTCCCTGCAGGACTTTTTTTGTTTGTTTCCTTAAAAGTAGATATAAAGCCTGGCTTTTAATCAAAAAGGGATGACAGACCTCAGGCATTAATATCTCTGACACCAGAAAGTGTGTGGTGGGTGTAAATTTCCCATATCACATATGGATGCAAAGGCCAAAATGATCTTTTACAATTGTTTCAAGCAGTGACTTACTATCCAGGCAGCAGGAGACCTCCCAGACAACTATGCAAGAATGACTCTCACTCAGGATCCATTAGAGCTAGTAGGAAGGCTCACATTTAATGAACAACCAAGGGCCACGGGATTGACCGAGGAGAAAAAACTTTGGATGGTTTTGAGGCTCATCCTCCTCCCAAATCCCCCTCACAAACACCTACACACTTTTGGTGGTTTACCAAGTGGCTGGCACAACACTTTTGAATTAGTACAACAGCCTGATACCAGAAGCTAAGCTCAGAGGCTCTCCAGCTGTGCTCTACCCAAGCATGCCTCTCTACTTGCCATCAAGAGGATGGAAGAGTCATGTACTCTGCTGCATCTCTGCTTGTGAGTTTCCCCAATAAACCTTATTTTATTTTACATTTACACTTAGAGTGGTGTGGTATATGTGTGTCCATGAATGACATATGCAGACAGAACATAAAGGTAGACATTATTTTTAGCTATAGACCTTTGTTTAAATCCCAATGGTAGGGAGGAGGAAGATCTATTAAGAACCCAAAAGGGACCATAAGATTTGTCTACATTATTTCAAGTAGATGCAGATAATTTAAAACCTATGAATATGTAATGCATAACTTAAAAGATTTCAAATGTAAGACGTAAATACATTGTAATAGGCCTATGCCTCAGAAGACAGAGGAAAATATTACAAGGCCTTTAGTGCATGTTGATAACTCTGCTTCTATTACCGTTAGATCATAACTGCAAAAACCCATACATGAAGTACAATAAATCACTATGCATAGAGTTTTAGTTCGGTGAACAATGTTTCAAATAAAAGGATCTTACTTAATGGAAAGGGATAGACATGAGTTTTCTTTCCAATGGGATTTCAATAAATACGACATACTTACTACAGAACAACCAAGGTCACACCTGCAACTCCAAATCTCATTTTGTATGGTTATTGTGAGACCAACGATGATTGATGTTTCTGTATGGTATTGAAAGGAACATTTATGACTTCAATGCAATTCTTAGTTATAAAAGTTTGATTTTTGGTTTTGAGTGATTAGGAATCACAGTAAATAAAGAATATATTATGTTGGTTCTAAACTTTTGCATATCCTGCGAGTTTGGAAACATTAAGTCCAAGGGGGCAATTGCAGAGGAATTTTACATCAGTAGTGAAAGCTGTGCTGCAGAGAACAGGCAGGAGAAGTTAGTGGAATCGGAAGATGGAATATAGAACAATTTCCTGAGAAAAGGTAGCGTCTTGGAAGTTGCAAGTAGCTGAACCTCTAGTCAGGTAAAGAACTCAAAGTCCTAGAGACAGTTATGACAGGCATGGCCACTATTCGCTTTAGACACTTTGAAAGGATTGAAATTGTAATACTCCTCACTATTGGACTTATTAAAAATACATTGGGAGAAAAATGATTACTCCTAATATGGAAAATCAGAAATAGTTACAGTTAATGTGGCTCATGAATCTTCAAGAAGAAACAGAATAAAGAAGATAGCTGGAGTTTTATCATTGTGCAAAAAAAAAAGAGCACTTCTTCAATCTTATGGAAATTATTAAAAATTTTAGTGGCATAACTTCTAAAATGATTAATGGCAAGGGTCAGAGGACCAATGGTCATTGTCCTTTAACAGGAACAGAACTGAACATGAGGCAAAGTAGAGGTCTAAATGTGATGATAGGCTTGGCCTGTCGATAGTTAGAGATTGAGCCAACCCATTCCATTAGAAAATCATGAAATTCCTTTGACTTGATGAGCTACTTAATAATAATATTCTTGTTCAATTTTCATAATTGCTATATGTTGGGTGCACTTTCTGTAAATTATAAACTGGGAAGATGGCCAAGACTCCCCAGAATGAAACATATAATTTGGAAAGATTTTCATATTGTAAGAAAATGGTCCCAGTAAAACAAAAATAATATCACACAATGAAGGAAGCCTCTCTGGAAATTATTGAAGCATCTAGGAATTTGACTATTCTAGATAGTTCATATAAATGGAATTATACCATATTTGTCCTTTTGTGTAAGGTCTATTTTACTTAGCATAATGTTTTCAATGTTCATGTATGTTGTAGTGTGTATCAAAACTTCATTTTTATGACTGAGTAATATTTCATTGTATGTTATTTATCACATTTTGTTTATCCATCCATCTGTTGATACACATTTTGATACTTTATTTTTTTTGGCTATTTTGAATATCTTTTCTAGGAACCAGCAAACTGTTTTCCACAGTGGCTATACCATATTACATTCTTTTTTTTTTTAAATTGTGGTAAGTACACTTAACATAAGATCTACCCTCTTAACAATTTTTTTAATGTACTAGCAATGTACAAAGGTCCAATTCCTCTACAGTTTTACTAACACTTTGTTTTTTTTTTTTTAAACTATATCTATTCCAGTAAGAATCAAATGGGTATCTCATTATGGTTTTGATTTACATTTCACTAATGACTAATGATGTCGAGCACCTTTTCATGTGCTTATTGGCCATTTGTATAACTTCTTTTGAGAAATGTTTATTCAAGCTCCTTGACCATACTTTAATGGATTTTGTGTTTTTCATTGTTTTGTAGGAGTTCCTTACCTATAATGAATATGAAACTCTTACCAGATATGTAATTTGCAATTTTTTTCTCCCATTCTTTGGTTAGTATTTTTACCTTCTTAATCTTTAATACAAAAACATTTTTAATTTTGATGAAGTCCAGTTTATCTATTTTTGTTGTTTTTGCTTGTGCTTTCAGTGGCGTATCTAAGAATTCATGGCCCAAACCTAGGTCATGAGGATTTACTCTTATGTTTTATTCTAAGAGTTTTATGGTTTTAGTTTTTACACTTACATTAGTAATAACATGTTATATATGTCTTGAGGTGAGGTGAGAATCCACATTCATTCTTTTACATGGGGAAATCCAGTTGGCCCAGTATCATCAATTGAAGTCACTATGCTTGCCTCATTAAATAAACTTTGAAAATTTGTTAAAAATAAATTATCACAATAGGGAAGTTATAATTAACAATAATTTGTATATTTTTAAGTGGATGCAGAGAATTGTAATGTTCTCAACACAAAGAAAAATGTTTTAAGTGACAGATATCACAATTACCCTGTTTGATCATTGCACATTGTATATATGTATGAAAATATTACATGCACTTTGAAAATATGTACAGCTATGATATATCAATAAAAAATACAATATAAGCCCTAATTATCTGATATAATTAAAAATCAAAATCTGATTAGGAGAAAGAGGCATGGCAGGGTGTGGCTAAAGAGACAGGAAGGAGTCTCATCAATAAAAGGCTCTCCTGTGTCTCTTCCCCACAAGACCTAAACTACTGGTGGAAGTAAATAGAGTATAGAAGAGATTCTAGCACAGAAGAGTGGACATGGACAAACTCTTACAAGCTTTAAGAAGATTTCCCATCTGGTCAACGTATCCTGAGAAACCAATGTACCTGAAACTATCTTGAGAAACCAATGAACCTGAAACGTGTATGCATCTTCTGCCTCAACAGTGTCAATTCACTGCAGAAAGAGCCTCATGGAAAAGGTTTATTGTTCTTCTTTTGCATAGTGGTTTCTCAGAAAAATGACATCAGGTCCAACTGGCAGCTATGAAAGCAGATTCCCAATATCAAGGAAATGGAGCCCCAGCTGAGAGCTTTTCTACAGATGAATCCTAGAATGCTGAAGTTCCAAGTGGACGTGACCTTGGATGTTGACACGACCCATAACTTCTTTATTATTTCTGATGACCTCTGGAGCATCCAATGTAAGCATATCAAATAGAATCAGCAAGAGCTTGCTGGGAGATTCGACTTCACAGTTTGTGTCTTGGGCTCTCCTCCTTTTACCTCTGGTGACCATGATTGGGAGGTGGGTATGGGAACAGGTGAAGAATGGGAGCTGGCAATTTGCAAAAAATCTCTTGATCAACAAGGAAAGATTACACTTCAGAGTGTCTATCCTGGACTCTGAGTTTGAGGGCAGGAGGCTACTTCTTTGCCAGCACAAGGCCTATCTCCCGTGTGGACCCCACGTTACAGCAAATGGGGATTTTCTTGTATACGAACATGGAAAAAAAATTATTTTCCTAAACTGAAGATGGATCCCAAATCCTTACACCCATGTGTTTCTGCTGAGGAGCCACTGTATCCAGTTTTTTTGTTCCTTCAACTCTCCGAGATCAGCATGTCCTGAGTATCTGTCCTGTGATGAACCTGGGCACTGCCAATTTTCCAGTCCATCCGGGGAAGGATGAATAAACCTCCACTGCAAAGAAACATGAACGGAAAATTACTTGTTGGTTAAACCCAGAGACTTTCTGCTCAGTATTGTGAACAATAGTTCTCTGAAAAGGAATTTGGAGGAAAGGGATTTTATTCCCTTGAACAATTTGCAAACCAGAGATGCAGCCTTTGATGTAAGATGAAGGTGCATGTTCCAGAGAACAAAGGGAGGATTCGGTTTTTGTAGCAAAAGTTCCTTCCTACGTTCCCGATGAGGTCTGTTTATTCAAATAAAGAATTCAAACGTGCTTAGTTCTGAATGGTTGGTTTATACAGCTAAGCCCTGATTGGTTGATAAAACTCAGGCCTGAGTGGTTGGTAAAGGTCAGCATTGAAGTTCCAAAGTTAAACAGAGGTCTGGATTTTCAAAGAATTCTTTTCAGAGAAAGAATACATGTGTGATGTCTAGTCAACAAATGGCCACTTGCATCTATTTAAAATTGAGGCTCATTTAGCCACCTGGGCTCCATCTTGAATGATTGGCTCCTTTAGGTTCACATTTGTTCAAAGTATAAATATTATACAAGTCATAGAAGAAAAATATGGACCATTGTATGATGCAGTTAACCTAATTAGAGTCATTAGAATATAAATTGAGTTTTAAATATTGATTCTTTTCACCACCAAACTTGTTGGGTTTTGTGTTTATAGTTTGTTTCCTATAGATCTGTCTGTATTCTCAGATTAATTTCCAAATGTTTTACTTTTTATTTCTGTAAGTTCAACTTAATGTATTGTAGATGTTATTAAATGCACATTTTTATGTAAAAACTCAATTAGTCATAGATGTAAGAGGTTATTTCTGGACTCTCAAATCTATCTATTTATATGTTTATCCTTATGTCAGTGCCATACTGTTTTGATTCTTGTAGCTTCATAGTAAGTTTTGAACTAAGGATGCGTGAGTCCCCCAGCTTTGTTCTTTTTCAAGATTATTTCAGCTATGCCCGATTCCATATACATTGGAGGACTGGCTTGTAATAATAAATGTAAATGCTTGAAACACACCAATTAAGAGATAGATATGGTCACATTGGATAAAATGTATGCTGTCACAGGAAAACAACTTCAAATGCTAAAGATAAACGATAGGCCATGGGACAAGTTTCAATATGTTTTTAAAAAGACTGAAATCATATACACTATGTTGTTTGACTGCAGTAGAACTAATCTAAAAATAAATAACAGGAAAAAGCTGGAAATACACAGGTACATGGAAATTAACCAACATACTTTTCAACAACCAGTGGTTCGAAGAAGAAATCACAAGTCTAGAAAATAGTCAGAGACAAATAAAAATGAAAACACAACTACCCAAACATATGGAATACAGTAAAGGCAATGCTAACCAAGAAATTACCTATATATACCTATACAGGATTTTTTCCCAGACGTTACTTTTTAAAAAAATTTTGATCTAATTGTACGTTAACATGAATGTGTAAGAAATAATAGAGAGATCCCATACACCATTTCCTATTTCCTTAGTTTTTCCCCATAGTAACATCTTGCATAACTATAGTACATTATCACAATTAGGAAATTGATATAATCTACCTATCTTCTTCAGATTTCGCCTGTTTTACATGCACTAATTTGTGTGTGTGTCCATTTCTTTTATGCAATTTTTTTCACATGTGTAGATTTATATGACTACCATAACACTCAAGATATACAGCAATTCCATCACAAGAATCTGTAATCTACCCCTTTAAAAATCATAGCCACCTTCACCTGCCCTACTGTCCCCTGCTTTCCAGCCTCTATCAACCACTAATCTATTCGCTATTTCTGTAATTTGTCATTGAAGAAATGTTACATAAGTGGAACCATACAGTTTGTGACAATCCGAGATTGGCTTTTTCACTCAGCATGATTCCCTTGAGATCCATCCAGCTTGTTGCATTTATTACTACCCTTTTCCTTTTTTATTGCTGAGTGGTATTCTTAACATGGATATACCACACTTTTTATTTTGAAGGATATTTGAATTCTAATTTGGGGCCATTGTGAATAAAGATACTATAAATATTCCTCTACAAGTTTTTGTGTAAACATGTTTTCATTTTGATAGGATATTTACTCAAGAGTGAAAATGTTGAGTTCTGTGGTAAGCACATATTTAATTTTATGGGAAACTGCTGTACTGCTTTCCAGAGTGTTTGTACTATTTTGCATTTTCACCAGCAATATGAGTGATACATTTCCCTTCAAGTTTTAGGTGTCTATGCTACTGTAACAGAACAACTGGGCTGAACTCAAAGCAGGTTTTGGGAAGGAACAAAAGCCAAATAAAATAAAGAAAAAACAACCCACCAGCTTTCTTCTGCATTCTGTAGCTGAAGAATTTCCTTTTCCCATTTCCTTTGTTTAAAAATACGATTTCGTTAAGAGAATGTGCTACCCATGCTCTCTGTGCAGTTCTTGGTCTCGGCTTGCTTTCAGATCAAATGTCAGAGATAAAGGAGGAAAAAACCCTACTAACTTGCTTCCATACTGGACTTTATTCAATTTTTGACTTCCTACCCAATCTGTCTGTTACAGTCTATTTTTTAAAGTCTTTGCATTGTTTCTTTTTGTATTCCGTCCAAAGTTTTAGTTATTATCATGGCAAGCTATAAGCTATAGTAAACTTACTTCATCTTGGACACTACTGGAATCATTTCACACAAATTTATGAATTGTCAAACTGTTGGTATAATTTCAAATACATTGCTACTCCAGTATTTTTTTTTTTCAAATCTCTTAGCTCTCTTTCTTTTTGGCTAGCTAGGAAAGATGTTTGTAAGTGTTCTAAAGGGAACAATGGCTGAAGAATGATTGACTTCTGAGCAATAAATATCATCCAGCTGATGATCTAATAGATGAGAATACAACTTCTGACAGTGAAGACTATGAATGATGTGAAATATATGCTATGCCTTTAAACCAAGGCTTATCTGTAAATCTTTGAACATGACTCCCATTGCAACACTTTAAGAGCTTTACGTTTGTCAATGGGAGATGATTAAGTAAAAGGCTTGCAGAGTCAATCTTTTTATTTTTTAAAAAATTGGTAAATCCGGTTTCTATTGTTGTTTCCTCTGGTGTTCTTCCATTTAGCTTATCTTTGGGTGGAGAAAATCACTGCAATTTCAGAAGGCATGAACTTAATCCAGGATATATTAGGGTTTCCAAATTCCTTCTGGGATTCTAGTCTTTCCCCAGGAGAGATAATTAACCTTTGAAAGTAGTCATTTGTATAGTTTCACCTGTGGTTTGTTTTAAGAATTGATTTACCTCATTCACCTTTCTGTGCAATCACTTTAGACTGCAGGTCTGATTGGTGAGGATATAGAAAAAGGTGGCTTTTACAAGGACATTTCAGCAGTGGCAACCCCTCAGTGTGACATTTTAGTATTAAATATTTAACTCGATTTCAGAAATCTTCTGAGTTGCCTCTTTGCATCAACATGTCTTTAAAACTAGTAAGTCTAAGATAGTTTTTCTTCACTGGTATACTGGAAAGTGCATAGAATTCAACTGTAAAGGATTAACTTTGCATCCAGGTCTAACATTTACTAATTACATTACTTTAGACAATTTATTATTACTGAGCCTTGGATTCCCCATCTGGAGATGAGATTAATAATCACAATAATTTTAATAATAATAACAATCACAATAATAATAATCACAAATAATTTTGTTCTGAGTCCTAAATTTTACATTTATACAGTTTTACCCTTCATACCTGTGGGTTCCAGATCTGTAAAACATGATCAAAAACATTCAAAAAATTAATACAACATAATGCAACAATAAAAATAGTACAAATAAAAAATGCAGTACTATCTAGATACCATTTACATTGTATTAGGTATTATAGGTAATTTAGATACGATCTGAACTATGTAGGTATATGCAAGTACTACATACATCATTTTATGTAAAGGACATGAGCATCTGCAGATTTTTGTATCTGGGCGGGGGGAGGGGGGTCCTGAAAGCAATTCCTTGCGAATACAGAGAAACAAGTGTGTGTATGTATGAGTGTGTGTGTGTGTAGTGTATTTGTACAGCACACATAATACAGGAGTATTATTTTTCTATACATAATTTTTGCCTGAAGTGCAGTGATTGCTTCCTTAGTGGGAAAAGGCAGCTTAGAAATACAAGTGCATTTCCAGGAGTAGTTTTTTGAATATTTACAATATTCTATACTATATTCCTAGTTAGTACTATTTCTAGGTAGATTGCAGAAACTGAGGATACTCTCTATTCCAGTTTATAATTATATTTTGCAGGCTCTCTTTGAGGTCCTGGGTCTTTGTACTCCCATTTTGGAATCTACATATAAATTGCTGTGTACTGTCAATTTTGGTATAGTCAAATACATTTCAAAGCCAAATACCATGATGTTTAAAAAGGGACAGAGAACAATTATATTTGACAAACATTTTTTACATGACCTGAAAATGTCTTGGGATTAAAAACGATCCTTTTATACTCTGATTTACTTGGAAGTGTTTAGTTGAAACTGGTGAAATCATTTCACTTTATTTTACAGGCTGATTGAAAAAGATGGGAAAGTCTCAACACAGGTTTTGCATTGTGCCTTCTTGCTAACTGGGATGAGAGCTCAACAAGTTTATATTTAACATATTGGGAGTTATTACAACGAGCACTTTAATCGTTTATGCAACTTTCATGAATACCCAAGAGATGGTAGTACTTTTCAGTTTTGGAAGGAATATAATTTATTGCAGAAAACACTTGACATAACTGTAAGGGAATATGTAGTATTAAAAATGAAAGTCTGTAGTTACCTTTTTGTTTCATTTAGCATAAAGCAGAAGCATTCGTGTTTTTCTCACAATTTCAAAGTAGGCATGTGGAAACTTTTACATCATTCAAAGGAAAAATAAAATAAATAATTCACACTGAAAAGTAGCCGCCCCAGAGCTTGGGAAATTTGTTTAAATATGGTTTCAACTGATTGTCTTTTTGAAAAATCTTATTTCAATTCTTTGGTTATGTTCATTTTTAAATGAAAATCTGTAAACTGATAGAAGTTAAAGGACCAAATTTTAAAAGATCAGTAAAGTTTTAATTATACAATGTTTCTCATTTGTCTCCCTGAGTGTCCTATTTGAAGGGTTCCTTGATGGCGCATTGAACTGTCACCTCATTTTCTTTTCTTATTCAAAGAGAATATTTGAGAATTTAATTCTTTAAAGTTTTTAAGAATGATTCAGAAGATTAAAGTAATTTTGGCAGATTGGTTCTCAAAATAAAACATATAAAATAAGCACTTTTTCTGAAAGGAATTGGAGCAGTTTTGATGTTCTCTTCCCAAGAATAAATAACTTGTGAAGACAGGGCAGTACCTTCAAAGCCTCTGTTTCTTTAACGGAGGGTCCCGTAACATAACAACCTTGATTCCTTCAAGTGAAAGATTTTACCAGGTTTGAATTAATTCACAAGCACTCTTGGAGATTAGTAAAAAGGCCACCTCTCACCCCTGTAAGGAAAAGAGAAAAAAAAAATTTATTTCCAAGCTTAGAAAAGATGAAGAATAGGCTCTTAAAGCCCTAAGTAGAGTTCAATGTTTGATTTTATAAACCCAGTTGATAAGGGTCAGGTTATTGTAATAACACCACACACACACACACACACACACACACACACACACACACAATTTTTAAACCGTCTTCTCTATGAGAAATCATCAAACAGGAGATGTCATTGGCTAGTATTTTTTATTTATTTACTGGTTAAAAACAATGGATACAAGTTAGAAAACAATAGTGGTAATATAGAGTGATGGTTAAGAGTATAGGCATGTGAAGTCATTCTTATATACTGTAAGATCCTTAGTTTAGATCCTGGTTGTAACATTAAGTATCTATGTGACTCTGAACACCTTTCTTAACCTTTCTGTGCTTGAGTTTTCCTTTTTATACAAAAAAGATATAATAATTATATAACACATAACCTTTAAGGTTTGTAGGAAAAATAAATGAACCAACATAAAATACTGGCACAGTTGTCCCTTAGTATCCTGGCAGATTGATTCTACAACACCCTCAGATACCAAAACTTGTGGATTATCATCTCATAAAAAATAGTGTAGCATTTGCATATAAACCATGCCCATCTCCCTGTATGCCTTATTTTTTAAATCTTTAATTAAAAAGAAAATATTTTAGAGACAGGTTCTCTGTCACCGATGCTAGAGTACAGTGGCATGACCATTATTCACTGAAGCCTGAAAATCCTGAGTTCCAGCAATCTTCCTTCTTTAGCCTCTTAGGTAGCTATGACTACAGGTATGTGCCACATACCTGGCTAATTTTTTAAATTTTTAAATTTTTTCTAGGGGCTGGTCTCAAGTTCCTGGCCTCAAGTAATTTTCTCTCATTGGCTTCCCAAAATACTGAGATTATAGGCGTAAGTCACGGCTCTTGGCCCCTCCTTTATATTTTAAGTCATCTCTAGATTACTTACAATACTTAATACAATGTAAATGCCATGTGATATGGTTTGGCTGTGTGTCCCCACCCAAATCTCATGTCTAATTATAATCTTCAGTATTGAAGGAGGAGCTTGGTGGGAGGGGATTGAATCGTGGGAGTGGAATTACCCCTTATGTTTCTCATGATAGAGTTGTCATGATATCTGGTTGTTTGAAAGCATGTAGCACGTTCCCTTCTCTCTCTTTTCCTCCTAGGGGGCATGTGAGACTTGTCTGCTTCCCCTTCAACTTCCACCATGATTGAAAGTTTCCTGAGGTCTCCCCAGCCATGCTTCCTGTCCATCCTATGGAGCTGTGAGTCAATTAAACCTCTTTTCCTTATAAAATACCCAGTTACAGGTATTTATAGCAGTGTGAGAATGAACTAATATATCATGTAAATAATTGTTGGACTGTATTGTTTAGGGAATAAGGGCACGAAACAAGCCTGTACAAGTTCAGTACAGATACAATTTAAAAAATATATATGTGCTTAGCTTTCAATGGATTTCAGATGTTTTTATTGTTATCCTCATCATTTTAATAATTGTTACATCATTATTATTATTAGCCTAATTATTATTATATTCCAAAAATCTCTTTTATTGGATTATACCAACCTTTTCTCTAAATAGATTACTTTGGTTCCGATATTTAGCAGAGTAATGTGCGTATATTTGCATGGTGTGTTTCAGTATTTTATAGTTTGTTCTTTAGGTCCTGAAAAGGATAAACATAAGAGTAAAATAAATTAATATTTCATATAGCTCCTCTTACTAATACATATACATTTTCATATATTATAATAATTTTATATTTTAAAAATCACTCAAAATAATTTAAGAAACATTAAATTTTAAAGTGTTAAGTTTAAATATTCAGTAGGAAGTTCTTAGATGTTTTAAGAACCTTTTTGAATCCCAGCAGCCCGGCATATTCTGTAAAGTTTAATATATATTGAATATAAAATGAAGGTTTATGCCTTTTTAATACACAGTCAAGTGAGGAGTTGAAAGGGAACAAGGACAAAAAAAGAAAAAAATCCAATTTTCTACCCTAATTCCATGTTTATTTCAGTAGCATAAATGAAGCTATCCTACTTTTGAGAAAATGGCAATGAGATACTTATTTCTCTTGTCAGGATATTAAAGCTCATATGCATCAGGTATGGTGGCTTACACTTATAATCCCAACACACTGGAGGCCAAGGTGGGAGGATCACTTGAGGCCAGGAATTCCAGACCAGCCTCTATATTTTTTATAGAGGCAGGTTCTAAACATTTTGTGCAGGCTGGTCTGGAACTCCTGGCCACAAGTGATCCTCCCACCTTGGCCCCCCAGTGTGTTGGGATTATAAGTGTAAGCCACCATACGTCTTGTGAGAACTCAATCACAAAACAGCACTAGGGGGTTGGTGGTAAACCATTAGAAACCACCTTCATGATGCAATCACCTCCCACTAAGCTTCACCTCTAACATTGGGAATTACAATTCAACATGAGATTTGGGTGGGGACACAGAGCCAAACCATATCATTCCGCCCTGGCCCCTCCAAAATCTCATGTCCTTCTCACATTTCAAAACACAGTCATGCCTTATGAACAGTCCTGCAAAATCTTGACTCATTCTAGCATTAACTTAGAAGTACAAGTTCAAAGTCTCATCAGACAAGGAAAGTCCCTTCTGCCTATGAGCCTGTAAAATCAAAAGCAAGTTAGTTACTTCCAAGATACAATGGGGGGTACAGGCATTGGGTAAATGCTCTTATTCCAAGTGGGAGAAATTCATCCAAACAAAGGGACTACAGGACCCATGCCAGTCTGAAACCCAGTAGGGCAGTCATTAAATCTTAAAGCTCCAAAATAATCTTTTGACTCCATGTTTCAAATCTAGGCCACACTGATGCAAAGGGTGGGCTCACAAGGCCTTGGGCATCTCCACCCTGTGGCTTTGAAGGGTACGGCCCCTGTGGCTGCTTTCATGGGCTGGTGTTGAGTGCCTGTGGCCATTCTAGGTGCATAGTGTAAGCTGTAAGTGGACCTTACAGCTTCATGCTGGGGTCTGGAGAATGGTGGCCCTCTACTCATAGCTTCAGTAGGCAGTGCCCCAGTGGGTACTAAGTGTGAGTGCTCCAACCTCACATTTCCTCTCTGCACTGTCTTAGAGGAGGTTCTCCATGGGGGTTTTACCTCTGCAGCAGACTTCTACCTGGACATCCAGTTGTTACCATACATCCTCTGAAATCTACATGGAGGCTCCCAAGCCTCAAATCTTGTCCTCTCTGTACCCACAGGCTTAACACCATGTGGAAGGCTTTGCAGCTTCTGGCTTGCACTCTCTGGAGCAGCAGCCTGAGCTGTACCTTGGCCCCTTTTAGCCACAGCTGAACCTGGAGTGGCTGGATGCAGGACACCATGTCCCGGGGCTACACAGAGTAGTGGAGCCCTGGGCCTGGCCCATGAAACCATTTTTCCTTCTAGGCCTCCAGGCCTGTGATGGGAGGGGCTGCTACAAAACTCTGAAATGCCTTGGAGGCATTTTTCCACCATTGTCTTGGCTATTGAAATTCAGCTCCGCTTTAATCATTTAAATTTCTGCAGCAGGTTTGAATTCCTCCCCGGAAAATGAGTTTTTCTTTTCTACCACATGGTCAGGCTAAAAATTTTCCAAACTTTTTCCTCTGCTTCCCTTTTAAATATAAGTTCCAATTTCAAACCATCTCTTTGTGAGCACGTATAACTGTATGCTTTAAGGACAAGCCAGGTCACCTGTTGAACACTTTGCTGCTTAGACATTTCTTCTGCCAGATACCCAAAGTAATCTATCTCAAGTTCAAAGTTCCACAGATCTCTAGAGAAATGGCACAATGCTGCCAGTCTCTTTGCAAAAGTAAGAGTGATCTTCAGTTCTCAGTGATTTCCTCATCTGCAACTGAGACAACCTCAGCCTGGACTTCACTGTCTGTATTACTATCAGCATTTTGGTCACAACCATTCATCATTGTCTAGGAAGTTCCAAACTTTCCTCTTTTTCCTGTCTTCTTCTAAGCCCTCCATACTTTTCCATCCTCTTCTTGTTACCCAGTTCCAAAGTTGCTTTTACATTTTTCAGGTATCTTTACAGAAATACCACAGTCACGGTACCAATTTTCTATTATATTAATTCTCACATTGCTATAAAGAACTACCTGCAAGAAATAATAGAGGTATATCTTCATGATTTCTTCAGAGGCAATACTTTCTTAAATAGGGCAATAAAATTACCATCCATAAAAGAAAATTAGACCTCATTAAAATTAAATACATCTATTCTTCCAAAAAAATTATTGAAAGTGTGAAATAGCATACCAAAATTGGCTAACTCAGTAATGAAGCCTAAGAAGTCTCAATGATCTGCTCTCTTCAAGGTGGATAACCAAGGTATTGGTGTAATTTAGTCTGACTACGAAGGCCTGGCAATTAGAGGGCCTGTGGTGTAAGTCATAGCCTGAGTCCAGAAGCTTAAGAAACACAAGCATCCATGTCTGAGGGAATGAGAAGATGGATGTATCATCTGAAGCACAGGGTAAATTGGCCCATCCTCAGGCTTTTATGAATAGTTTTACTGAGGCCTTCAATGGATGGTGGTGGGGGAATGCCTGCCCACATCGGGGAGGGCCATCTGCTTTCCTCATTTCACCAGGTCAAAAGGTGATCTCTTCCAGAAATACCCTACCAGACACCCCCAGAAATAATGTTTGATGTATTGTCTGGGCATCCCTTAGCCAAGTCAGGATAAACAAATCATGAAAAGAGTTGGACAATACAGCTTAAACATGAGCAAAAATTATGAACAGGCACTTCATAAAAGAGATATCAAATAGCCACCAGTGTGGTGGCTAATGCTTGTAGTCCCAGCACTTTGGGAGGCTGAAGTGAGTGGATGACTTGAGGCCAGAAGTTTTAGACCAGCCTGGCCAATGTAATGAAACCCCATCTCTACTAAAAATACCAAAAAATTTAGCTGGGCAGGGTGCACATGCCTGTAATCCCAGCTACTTGGGAGGCCGAGGCATGAGAATCATTTAAACCTGGGAGGTGGTGGTTGCGGTGAGCTGAGATCGTGCTACTGCACTCCAGCCTAGGTGACAGAGTGAGACTCTGTCTCGAAAAAGAAAAAGCCAATAAACATGAGAAGGCAGTTAATATCATTAGTCATAATGGAAATTCAAATCATAAACACAAAAACACAAAGTTATACCACTTAAATCCATAAGAATGGTTAAAAAAATTGGAGAGAAATACCAATGCCAGAAAGAATGTGAAATATTTAGAACACTGATACTTTGCTGGTGGAAGTATAGATTAAAGCAGCCCCTTTGGAAACCTGTTTGTCTGTATGTATAAATCCAAGTTTCATCCCCGCTGTCCTGCCAATCTTACTCCTGATTATACCATACAGAAATGAGTCTTATGTATGTTAATAGGCATTTACAAAAATATTTATTGCAGTATTCATATTAGCCCCCAAAAAGAAACAATTTGTAATTTCTTCCTAATTAAAATGGTTAAAATGTGGCATATCCACACAATTTAACACACACTGCAATAAAAAATAATAAATTTCTGGTACATGCAACAACATGGATGATTTTAAATATATAATCCTGGGTTATAAAAAAGCCAGACCCAAATAATACATACGTATGCTTCAAGTTACAAGTAGTTAAAAAGTAGACAAAACTTATGTATGGTGATAGAGATCAGAATAATCATTATATCTGGTGAAATTTACTGGGTGTCTGGATGCTGAAAATGGCCTGTGTGTGTGTGTGTGTATGTGTGCGTGTGTAAAAATTCAATTGTTGAGCTGTATGCTAAAAATTAGTACACTTAATACACTTTATTGTATGTAGTTCATTCCTCATTAGGAAAGAGAGAGGAAGAAGAAGGGGAAAGAGAGAAAAAGAATAAATAAATGTCTCTTTATAGTATAACTTAATTTCTATTTGCTGTTTCTCTTATTTCAACTACTCTCCTTGTTTCCTAGGTCATTAATGTTTCTTTAATTTTACCTTTGTGAACCTGAGACTGCTTTTCCTGATTTGTTTGACTTACCTGATTAGTCTTGGTATATCCTGAATTCTCTTGAAAAGGAGTGAAATCTGATTTTCATTTTCATTTTTTTTTTTGCCAAAGATGAAACTGTAAATATATATTATTTACCTTATGCAGGGTAAAATCTGGCAGAAACAAAACGATTTGACATTGTAACACATCATTCTTGGCGTTCGTTGTATATCCTAACTTCTTAGAATGTAATTTTAAGCTAACTGAGATTTATTTTCAGGTAAATACACTTTCTGGATATGACTGATGTTTCATTACCTGGCATAAATACAGATACTGGTGCTCTCTAATTCTTAACTATCCCTACCTAGTCATATTAAACTATGCTGAAGCCATCTTGCTTGTCCTTATATTTCATTTATGAGACAGTAAAATTCAGATTTTTCATTTCATAATTTTATCAGTTGCCAAATTTCTTTTTAGCTGCAGCCTTTTAAAAATCCCTGTTTCCCTGCTATTATTCTCTGGCTCAGCAGTTTATTGTCTACTCTTTTACTTGCATTGTTTACAACTTTGTCAGAGGATTGACATGATTGAGATTCAGGCTGCATAGAATCAAAGAGAAATGTTCTGAACCAAAATTGGAAAACATACCTAAATATTTGCATTCAGCCTGGAGTCTCAAACAAATACATAAGGTGAGACGGTTAAGAAAAAGAGGCCCAAGAGGTCCCTGGAAAACCCCTCCACCTTTATAGCCTCCAATTATTATACTTAAACAGAACTTAATGTAATATCTGAGTTTCATGATTCACTCTGTTTCTTCCGAACATGGCTGTTTATTTTGTGAGAAAGGGATCTTGACTTGGAGAGTGCCATTGTACTGCTAAATCCATCTCCGATCATCACTATTTTACACCGTGCCTGATCTTTTGATAAGTTATTTGATTCCAAATCTTGTCTCTGTTCTATGTTGTTCAGAATAGTTCTGACAAGCATCTGAAATAAAGACACCGAGAAAGACAGAAGAATTATTTTCCTTTGCTAAGTAGCACACACTGTTGCTCTGCTCAATTGCCCTTAGCCAATTACTGAACTTATGAGATTATGACAACCAAGCTCATGATTCATATGCCAGAGTTCTGTGGTAGCAGGCTGATATCACCCTTCTGGGACATTGTCTGCAGTAGCACCGTTTGTTTGCTTCCTCTCTATCATATGTTTCTTCGAATTCCATCATCCCTCCATCTCCATTCTTAGCCATCTTCTGGAAATACAATTTTACTACATCACTAGCAAAAGAATCCTCTTCTTAGAATCTGCTTCTGGGGAACCTGGTCTGATAAAAACTATGAGCCAAATTGCAACTGCTGCTGGCCCACATCCACAATGAATTTCTAGAGAATTTAGTCCTCTTTAGTAAAATTCCATGACATTTATAAGACTGTATAAGTGTTTACAGTACTGATATTATTTCAGATTGTTACCTTCTGAAAACCATAACTGATATTTTACATATTGAGAATAATGTTACTATCTTTCGACTATAGTAAATGAACTTATATTCTCCTGAAAAAAAAAGTCAGACTGGATGTAGCTCTCTTAATTTGCTTATTATTTGATAGAGCAGTTATACTGTCCACTTTGAAGTTTATTTTTGAAACTTTAGAAAGCATATATGAATTGTTAATTTTTATGTATTTTTTGATGTAATAGTTGACTGCTAGTCAAACGTGATCAAAACAATATGATAGTACTTATTGCTTATTGGGTAACTTGGTTAATATAAACACTAAAAGCTGGAGTTCATTCATAGAAAGCAGCCAGCTGGGAGCACAGGGACTGGCTGCAGAGTCAGCAGACTGAGTTGACCCATAGGATCAGGTACACCACTGTGGCATTCATTGTGTATCCTACCTCTGTGGTCTAGGAACTAGCCAGAGAGTGACTGCGCTGGGTCAATTGCATACCCAACTACTGAGAGCTGTACCAAGAACCAAGAACCCTTTTTTTTTTTTTTTTTTTAGATGGAGTCTCGCTCTCTCGCCCAGGCTGGAATGCAGTGGCGCAGGATCTGAGCTCACTGCAACCTCTGCCTCACAGGTTCATGTGATTCTCCTGCCTCAGCCTCCTAAGTAGCTGGGATTACAGGTGCACCACCACACCTAGCTCATTTTTTAATTTTTAGTAGAGACAGTGTTTCACCATGTTGGCCTGGCTGGTCTCGTACTCCTGACCTCAGGTGATCTGCCAGCCTCGGCCTCCCAAAGTTCTGGGATTACAGGCCTGAGCCATGGCACCTGGCCAGATGAAACTTCTGAACCAGGAAGAGAAGCTCCTGCCTCTATTTTGTCTTTCAACATCCCTCCAGCACCCTCTATTGACAAAGCCTAACATTGTGTCAGCTGCCTTGAGGAAACTGACGTCAGAGTCCAGCTTCAACATCACAAAGTAAGAGTCAAGACATGCAAATTTGGAGCTGAGAGGAAATAAATTGACAATACACACAAAATTTATGTTTATCTTGCATTTAAAATAAAGCATCTATTAAATTTAGTTGTTGTGATTAACCCTACTTCAGAAAGCGTAAAGTAACTGTATTAGTCAAGGTTTTATAAAGGGACAGAACTAATAGGATATATAGATATACACACACACACATACACACACACACACACACATATATATATGAGGAGTTTATTAAGTATTAACTTGCATGATCTCAAGGTTCCACAATAGGCCTTCTGCAAGCTGAGGAGCAAGAAGAGCCCGTCCGAGTCTTAAAACTGAACAACTTGGAGTCCGATGTTTGAGGGCAGGAAGCATTCAGCAGGGGAGAAAGATGTAGGCTGGGAGACTAGGCAAGTCTCTCCTTTTCACGTTTTTCGGTCGGCTTTATATTCGCTGGCAGCTGAATAGATGGTGCCCACCCAATTAAAGGTGGGTCTACCTTCCCCAGCCCACTGAGTCAAAAGTTGATCTTCAGCAACACCCTCACAGACACACCCAGGATCAGTACTTTGTATCCTTCAATCAAGTTGACACTCAGTATTAACTATCACAGTAACTTACTAGATTTTTTTAATATAAAGACAAAGTTATTAAATCTATATTATATAGAAACAGAGACTACTGTGCTCTGTGTGTGTGTTTTTAATTAGGGGTTAGTAATGGGGCTCATTACTTGATAATTCAAACACTCCTTCTTTTTCTATTGTTCACTGTTTATTTTTGTTACTATACCACATCCTTCAGTTTCTTTTGCTGTGGTGGTAAATAATGAGAAAAGCAAGTGTGAAATAAATGTATATATTCAACTCAGAGATTAATTTCATTTTAAAAGTTGCTAAAATTTACTCATCCGGTTAAATAAGAAGTAGTAATCTTTGGTGCATCTACCAGCCATGCTCTATTTTTAAAGAAAAGGATTTTTAAAAATCCTTTTTTCTTTTTATTCTTAGAGTCATGGAGCTGAATGTGGTGTTGTATATCACATGGTAGTACCTTCATTTTTAATATATATATATTTTAGAGATGGGGTCTCACTATGTTGCCCAGGCTGGTCTTAAAGTCCTGGCCTCAAATGTTTATCCTATTTTGGCCTCCCAAAGCACTGAGATTATGACATGAGCCATTGCACTTGGCAAACACCTTCTTTTTACAGATGAACAGTTTGAGAGCTAAACTAGCAAAGATTACCAACTTGCTTGTGAAGACATTCCATGCATGCAAGAAGTAGCTATGCAAGGATCCAGGGATGCAAACTCTTCCTGTGGAGTAATATGGTAGTGATGCAAATGTCGTATTATTTATCGATTGCTGTGCAACATCACCTTAATATTTAGTAAATTACAGCCATAAGAATTTAATTCCTAATTCTGCAGTTTGGCAATTTAGATGAGACTTAGCTTGGCAGTTCTTCTGGTTATGACCGGGTTCCATCATTCATCTGCATCCTTCTCTGGTTGGGCAGGCAGCTTTGCTGAACTCAACTGGGTGCCTTCATCTGTGGGCCTTAGCTATGACTTTTAGGTTGGCTAAAACCCATTATTCTACCTACTGGAGATAAGGTCTAACTTCTTCTGTAAAATATTAGCATTCCCCCTCTTTACCATCCCTTCTACCAGGACATATTTCTTGTCTTTGCTAGTTTCATAGGGAAAAAAAGTTTTAAAAGAGGGGAATGATATAGAGGAAGGAACACATTGGAGTTGAAAGGGGTAATAAATGCTGTCGGCATACCCCTACATCTCCTTGGCCTACTCTAGATGTTATTGGCAGGCAGAACAAAGAAGAACCAAAGTTCAGTTTGCAAGTGAGGGTGGCCTCAAATGGAAAAAGTTTAACTTTCTTTTTTTTTAGGAGAATGTCTACGGAAAAAGACTGGGTCCAATGGAAAGGATTTATGCCAGTGCTCACAAACATGATACAAGCAAATACAGGAGGTGGAGGTAAAAAAAAAAAAAAAAAAAAAAAAAAGCCTTAAAGAAGTATGTGTGTGTGGGCAGGGAAGAGAGGTCGTGATAAGGCAAGAAGAGGCTGTTAGCTTGTAGGAGTGATGGAGAAGATGTTCACAAACGACAGTCTGAGTTTGTGAGCATGGAAAGAACTATACCCCAAGTAAAAAAAAAAAAAGATATACAATTTAGGTATAATTAATGGAAGAGAGGGTTAACCATAGTAACCTTCATTCATATGACTATGTAAATACTGATTTGTTCCCTAACTCACCAACCATAATGTTTCCATTTTTTCTCCTCTAAGCCCTTTAATGCTTATATTTAGTTGTAGTACAGCTGGAAATATATATTTTTCTTCATACAAGCTTGCTGGCATAGATTTTATTTCACTTTCACCTGGCTTAAGCATCAGTTTTGATGACATTCAAGTGAGTGACCATTTCTTCCTGCCAATTTATGAACTAGAATGAATGGTTTGTAAGAAACATAAAAGCTTTTCTTCCAAAAAAACCAACACTAATAACTATATTTCACCTTCTTTATATTTACCTCTGGGATACCTTTTAACTTTTTTTCATACCAGTTTAGAAAAAGAACATAATTGTAAAATGAAAACCAAGCTCATTTGATACTGTTGTTGGAGAGCGAATAAAACCTAAGTATTGGGAAATGAAAAACTTGGGATTTGATTAAGAAGTGCAGAGCTTTAAGTGACACTCCAATGCCTTGGGCTGGAGTTTCAAGAAGTTGGCAAGGGAATTGAATCCCCCAGTGCTCAGGCTTATGACGGCAAGAATAAAGCTATTTTTATTCTCTAGGCAACAGCTTTCCTCTGCCAAATTTCCCAAGACTCATACAATGAAAGCATCCATCCCAAAATGATTAATGCAAATTTAGTAATTGTGCACATGGATCATTTCTCTGTCACCCATTTTATCCATAAAACGTGGCTTTCTCTCCATGCATGCATTGCTCATGTTTTGTGCCATTCACCTGTTGCTGGGGGCATGGAACAAATTACCTCTTTGTGTGAGGCTGCAGGAAGAAGAAATTATCACATTTGTGGCTGGCACCCCCTACTAAACCAAGCGTGTAATTATTTGAATCAGAATGATGGTATGCACAAAGTCAGATTTATCTTGGGTATCAGAAGAAGAGCATATGAGGTCTGACCCACAGCTGGACAGTTTCCGAAAGGGAGGATGGGTGGGAGGAAATAGGCTTCTGTTAAAGAAGATAAATTTTTGGCAGAAAAGACAAATTTCATTAGAAGCCAATGAGACCTCAGGGGTTCTGGCTTTTGTAGAATTTTAAGTGAAGTGAGTTCAAGTGCAAGGTTTTGAGCTGAGAGCCCTGGGGAGGTTAATCACAAAAAGAAGTGTTGTGTTGCCAACCTCACAGTGTGGACTGCCCCAAAGCACCTCACACAAGAACCTCAGACTTAATCAACCAAGAAGGCTCAGAGGAGTAAGCTAGAAGGACCAAGGACCCTCAGGCTTGTGATATCCCTTTCAAGTTTCCAGGAAACACTGATGCCTGCTTAATAGGGCCTTTCTGGAAACGAGTAGCTCCTTTTCAGAGGGCACCAATCACCTTTAAGTTGTGTTTGGTCAGAGCTTTAAATTGACAGTGTAAGACAGAGTAGCCACAGTAAGGCATGGGCCACCGCCACAGAAGCCATTTGCTGGTTTAACATCCCACTGCTTTCTAGCACTCCCATTTACTGAAAGGCTAGATGCTCACTCAGTTCCTAATCTGAAAGGCTATATGCTTACTCTACACTCTACTGGTGGAGCAAAGTGTCTATGGAATTTTTCTTCTGCCACCATAGACTGTCAAGCAGATTTCCTGAAACAAACATGCGCTTTTAAGCACCAATTAATGATAGTGGATTAAAAAAATGCATTTTTTTCATATAGAGAATGCAAAGAAACCTATACATAGAGCGCATGGCTGCTTATACATGTCATCAAAAGATGTTAGGCACAGAGTCAGGTGACCTGATGTATCCCCTTCTCAAATGTCTTGCATCTAAGCTTTTTGAAAATCAATTGTATGGACATTCCACTTTTAAGGAAGCTTAACTATCTGTCTCTTCTTGTGTTAGGATACACTGGGAAAAGAATAACAACAAGAACAGCAATAGTACACAACATACAAAAACAGACGGTTCCAGTTGACAGCCTTGTAGGGAAAATTTGTGAATGGCATAGAAATGGACAAAACCCAAAAAGTATTGAGTGTCCTGCGTAACACACCTTTCCTGGTGATCTGGTTCTATTTGGCCTTGTACCTTTCATCTTCTTTGAACTATTTAGTAACACAAATAATTCTTGTCTATGCAAATTATTAAATTTTGTCCAGTAGAACGCAAGTGATTATTGCCATGTGGATATTCATCAGATTTACATTCATTTGCAAATTTATTTCAGCATTCTTGATTGTCTGTATACATGTAAACACTTTGAATTCTATGAACCAATAGTAACATCTTACTGGTACTCTCACTAATGAATTAAATAAAATATTTGCCACATATTCATTTTATAACTTTATACAAGTTATCATACCAACTTTTAAAAAATATCTTTTATTAGCGTCAATACAGAAGTATTTTTGGTTTTGTTTTTGTAGTTTTTCAAAATAATATCTGTGCTGAGTCTCTTGCAAATTCATTTTCAGTTGAAGGCATGACTTTTGAGATTATAATTAAAACCATTGGTTAGCAAAGATACAGGATTAGATTTTTTTCCTTTTAATCCTTCACAATATAAGGAGTAACTCAGGTAGGAAACTTCATGATTGCTTCTAAAGAAGCCTTCTATTTGTATTCTTTGATGCAACATCACTGTAATGAATGTTATCACAGTTAGAACAAAAGAAAAATAAATGAATATTGGGGACTATTGAATTAGCTCTTTAAATGACATCTGCTTCATTATAGCTTACATATTCTCTAATAGGTATTTTTGACTAAGAGTAAAGGAAAGATCTGAGTTCAGCTAATATATCATAGAGCATATTTTTGAAGTTTACATCGTACCAAATTATTCACTTGAATGAGATTTATGCTAAGGGCCTCAACTGATAAATCATGAGTGTTTAGGAATCTGGTTTCCTGAAAAGTTTTTTCTCCTTCCTTCTTGGTAGTTTTTTTCCCCCCATCAGTCAAATATAGTACATCTTAATAAACCAGAATAAATCCTCCCAGGACAAGATTATAAGCCTTTTTTCCAAAATTTCATATTAATAAGTTGTTTTTCAGCAATAAGGAAGAGGAATGGGGGTCAATGTTTCTCTGGTATGAAAAAGTAATGGGATGACTTGAGCTTATATTTAATACCTGATGGGGAGCTATTCAAAACCTCATTTTCTGAGATGTTTGGTGAAACTTGGGTTTGAAGTAATAATTTTTTTATAAGTCATTGGCTATATAGGGAAATGTACCAGAATATAACAGACTATTTGTTATTGGTTGTTCCTTCAAGCTTTGTGCTGGTGGTGGGAGAGTGAGAAGAGAAGGAAGGAAAGATCACTACTTAGAACTGCGTCTTCACAAAAAAATTGCAACTAGAACTAGCATATTTATCTACATTATGGTCTCATTTTCAGTAATAACCTTTTCTTGCCTAAAGATTAGGAAAGATTTCTGGGACTACTTACTAATTAAACTATAGCACTCAAGACTTCCTAAGTTAATTTACACCTTCTCTCTCTTTAAACTTTTAGATACATTATACTTCAATGAAACTAGACTTTGAGTTTCTGCAACCTGTACAATACTTTGCTTTACAAAAAGCTTAGAATGCCCCCCATGTTTATGTACATGTTATTTTATTTATTTATTTATTTATTTATTTATTTATTTATTTATTTTTTGAGACAAGAGTTTCACTTTTGTTGCCCGGGCTGGAGTGCAATGACGCGATCTCGGCTCACCGCAACCTCTGTCTCCCAGGTTCAAGCGATTCTCCTGCCTCAGCCTCCCGAGCAGCTGGGATTACAAGCATGTGCCACCATGCCTGGCTAATTTTGTATTTTTAGCAGAGATGGGGTTTCTCCATGTTGGTCAGGCTGGTCTTGACTCCCGACCTCAGGTGACCCTCCCGCCTCGGCCTCCCAAAGTGCTGGGATTACAGGTGTGAGCCACCGTGCCTGGCTAGACGTGTCATTTGTTTTCTAACAGTGCTTCTAAAAAAACTTCCTGTGGTGGAAGACTGTTTTTGAAAGTTTCTATTTAGCTGTAATCCAACATTGCAAAACAAACAAACCAACAAAAACCAACAACAGCAACACTGCAAATATGAACTTATACAGACCAGTTTGTTATTGTTTCCAAAACACATTTTAAAATTGTTATAAATGTTTCTAAACCCTTTGAATCTCCATACTTAGGTCTTCACAAGCCTGAGGCAAGCTTTTCAGCTGACTTAAGGCAGTGGACTTACATTGGGTAAGGAGCAGAGCATAATTTTCCTCATAAATCCTATTTCTTCCAATTATTTTTCTTCTATATATCTCTAAATAAAAGCGTTATAAGCTTATTTGAAAGCAATGGTTCAATGCTGCTACTTTTCTTAGAATAATCGATTTGATCTCTACCATCTTAGGGTTCTTGAATAATTATAACTCCCCTTGAGAGAAACTTGAGCTCAAATCTAGGTCTAAAGCATCAAGTAATTATTTGCCAAACAAAAGTTGCTTAAGTATCTTTTTTTTTTGAACTAGGTTTTAAAAATTGATGCAGAATACTAATTTCCACCTCTTGAGTTCAAGCGATTCTCCTGCCTCAGCCTCCCAAGTAGCAGGATTACAGGTGCGCACCACCATGCCCAGCTAATTTTGTGTTTTTGGTAGAGATGGGGTTTCACCATGTTGGCCAGGCTGGTCGTGAACTCCTGACTTCAAGTATCTGTCCACCTCGGCCTGCCAAAGTTCTGGGATTACAGGCGTGAGCCACCATGCCCAGCCTGCCACTGTTGTTAATTCTAACACAGACAAATCTGGGTCTCAAAGCAGGAATCTGTAAGTTGCCTTCTATAAGAATGCTAATTCTCTCTTTATTCCAAGTAAATCAAACATAAGAGTTTGAATGTCTATAACTGACAATATTCTCAACTTTACTGAACCACTGACTTAGTCCTGCTGCCCTTGCCTACTTTACATTGAACTTTGGTAGATGTGGCTTTTATTTTCATTCATTAAATTTATTTTACATTTCCCCATTATCTAACTTGGTCAAACCTAAGGCCTTATAGCCTTCCTTGACCTCTTCCTATTATCATTACTCATATCCAATAGGTCATATGTCATTATGGATTCTATTGCTCAGTGTCTCTCACATCTATCCTTTCCCATCCATCTCCATCCACCTTCCCCTTATTCTGGGTGTCAACTCAAAATCAGAGTAAGATCGATAGAGATGGAACTCTATCGGTTGTGCAATAGTCTTCGTCTATTTTTCTTCATTACCTAACACATACTAGGGTTGGCCCATCTTTGGAGGGTCCCTTTTCGCCAAGAGATAATTTTTAGTTATTTATGAAAGTTCTAAAATAACCTCAACACCAGTAAAGTTCATATAATAATAAACTCAACACGTCAAAGCCAAAATGATTGTGTAGACTAGGCGGGTTCATTCAAGCATGAAGAGACCCAACTCTCTAAACCAGCACTTTAGGGTAAGATACTGTTTTATTTGTTTTTTAATAAACAGAAAAATTTTTCATAATTATGTCAGTTTATGGTAAAATTGATGACAAAATAAGAGTAGCAATGGCTCAGGGAAAAAAAATACTTCCAGATATAGTATCCTGCACAAATAAACACATTTAAAATGTAGGATTAGTCGTAGTGTAAGGGAGAAATGTCTTGCCCATTGTAAGGTTCATGGCAGAGGCCTCTATAACAAAATACAGATTAACAAAAGAAAAGCATACACACCATACACATTTATACACATTTATTTAATCATAAATTTTATGTGACATGAGAGCCTTCCAGAATAAAGTCTCAAGGAAAGAGAAAAAAAATTGTATTTTGATGCTTAGCTTTAATGAAGATTAGGAAGTCATGAAGAAATACGATTGCACAAAAGGAAGTGTGATCTAATGGTAATAAACTGGGGTAACTCAGGCCTTTTTGTTTAGATTCTTCTTGGCATCTTTGTGTATTTTCCTTTGGATATAAGTGTGATATTTCTGGAATGAATATTTTCTTCAAGCAATATTCAGAGAATTCAGCAATGACACTCTGCATGACGGCAGTGTAGGAGAAAATGAGAGTAGGGTCCTTGCTTCTGCTGTTTACTCGAAGGCCAAGGTGCCATAGTTTGAGGTAGCATGTCCTTAACCCTATTATTAGTCATGGTGTATCTGGTTACACATTACTGAGTTTTAGAAACAGTCAGTTGTCTGTTTCCTAATGCTAATGTTGAAAACTCTGAAGTCACTGTACAGAATAAGTTTCAAGATAAAAAGTATTTTCCCTTTTAGAAGAATTGGACAAATAAATCATACCATACTCATCATTTTGATAGTGACACTAGCTATGAGTCCTTGTGCAGTGCCTGATCATGAAAGTGATTGATAAGCCATGCAAGTTTCCTGCAAATTAAAAGTTTTATAGATTTTTGGACCATAATTATTAGAAACCTTTTTCAAATTATAAATGTCAGTTTTTGAATACAGCTAGTTTTGTTTGCAGTATGCTTTGTGAAAGTTGTTAGAGTATTTTGGGGAAGGTGCTAAAGGTTACTGTACTGACAGCTATCAGTAAGTATGTTAGCCTCAGGATGACATTTTTCTTTCAAGAATAAAGTAAAGCTAATCAGATACCAAAGTCCATTATCTGATGAGAAGTAAACAAGTGACAGTATCATAGCTGTCAAAATGAAATATAGTCTTGTGAGAGGGTTGTCTAGGAAAATGAAGAAAAGTGAATATAAAAGAAATCTCTGAAACAAGATGAAAAGAACTGGCTTTTTCCTTTGGACATAACAATGGGTCATTTTATTTTACACAAGAATGTTAAGAAATATTTGGGATTTATAGATTAAAAGTTAGAAATATCAACTGGTAAATTACTGCACCTTTCTAAAATGAAAGTTTTAAATGCTATTGAAATATCAGCAGTGAATGAATAAGTAATGGGATTTATACATTGATTATCTTACTTTAAATATATGTGTTTTCTTGATCTTGAATTTTAAAAATATAAATTTTATTTAAAATAGAACATGTGCTGTCATTGTTAGGGTATAGGCCAAGCTGCCATAAAAAGATCTCAAAATTCAAGAGCTTACATGAAACAGGCATTTATCTTTCAGATAACAATTTTAAGGTTAGGAGATAGAAAATAGCTCAGACCGGGTGCAGTGGTTCACGCCTGTAATCCCAGCTACTCGGGAGGCTGAGACAGGAGAATCACTTGAACCCGGGAGGCGGAGGTTGCAGTGCGGCGAGATTGCATCACTACAGTCCAGTCTGGGCAACAGAGTGAGACTCCGTCTAAAAAAAAAAAAAAAGTAGATAGCTCAGCTCTAGAATGCACTGTCACCTAGGTGCTGTTCTCATTTGCATGGCCAAAGCTGGCTAACGTCCATCCTACAGCCTGTTGGAAGGAAAAATAAAGATAAGGAGGTACAAGTCAAGCAATTTTATTATAAGAAAAATGCCCAGGAAATTGCATGCTTTGCTTTTGGCTCACTTTGCATTGTAAGAATTTAGTTGTATAGTCCTTCCTAATTGCAAGACAGGCTGAGAAATACAGTCTTTAGCTGGGCAGCTATGATCCTTGTTAGAAATGGGCAAATTGGCAGAAAGAAGGGGAAAGTAGGTACTGGGGGATAATCATCAGCTTCACATATATAAGATTAAAATTAAATAGAGGAGCTTAAAGTGAAAGTAATAATTTCATTTTCTGTTTTCCATTCCTTCAGCCCGTCTGTTAATTTTTGTGTGATTTCAGATATTTTTATACTCATGAAAAATATACAAGTTATGGTATTTTCTCCTTTTAGAAAGTGTACCTTAATATACATACTGTTTTGTGTTCTGTTTTGTTATTTTACATCTTAGAAATATTTCTTTATCTGCACACATATATGTTCTTTCTCTTTCTTGTCACAGCTGTACATTGTTTAATTACATGACTGAATAATAACTTACTCGATGTATTGGTTTGGGATATTTTGGTGTCTTCACAGTTTTTTTTTTCTCCTCTCTTATGATCAATTTTACAATGAAATTCCTATATGTACATCTTTGCATAGGTGTATACACATATCTACATACATTTCTTTTCTTTTTCTTTTTCTTTTTTTTTTTTTTGAGACGGAGTCTTGCTGTGTCGCCCAGGCTGGAGTGCAGTGGCGCGATCTTGGCTCACTGCAAACTCCGCCTCCTGGGTTCATGCCATTCTCCTGCCTCAGCCTCCCGAGTAGATGGGACTACAGGCGCCGGCCACCACGCCCGGCTAATTTTTTGTATTTTTTTAGTAGCGACGGGGTTTCACCGTGGTCTCGATCTCCTGACCTCGTGATCCGCCCGCCTCGGCCTCCTGAAGTGCTGGGATTATGGGCGTGAGGCACCGCGCCCGGCCACATTTCTTTTCTTAATCTTTATTGGATGCAGATATATTCCATAAAATGCACTCATTCTAAGTGTACAATTTAATGAGTTTTAGTAACATATACAGTCATGCAATGATTATGACAATACAGGTTTTGAACATTTTTTATTATCACTAAGAAGTTCCCTTATGCCCCTTGCAGTCAATTTCTGATTGCATCCAGCCTCAGACAACCAACTATTTGTTTTTCGTTTCTATAGATTGCACTTTTTATAAGTTTCACATAAATGGATTATGTAGCATAATGCTGTATAATGTCTGGCTTCTTTAATTCAGCATAATTATTATTTTTTAAACTTTTAATTTTGACTTAATTTTATTTTATTTTTTAAATTTTGACAATTTTAGACTCACAGAAATGGTGTAAAATAATGCAGAATTTACATGCTTCTAACATTAACAACTTCATGCCATCGTACAGTTATCAAAACCGGGAAATTCACAATGTTGTAATGGTTTAATTTCATGCATCTTGTATTTAATAGAATGAATCAAAGCTAAGGCAACATTTGAATGTTTTTTTTCTGTAATTACAGCATATGATCTTACAGAAAATTAATAAATTATTGTTTTAACAGTAGAATAATAAACAGAATGTTAATTCATTCTACTTGTCATTTTTTTCCCTTCCAATATAATGCTCAGTCTTGAACCATAGCATACATAATTTTGAAGAGACCAAGGATGTCTTTAGATAATAGTCAACTCATGTTGACTCTAAGGAACATGCCAGTTTTGTACCAGGCCTCTCAGTCTAGCTCAGCAGTACATAACATTTTGTTTCCATCATGCAAAATGTGCAATTAGATGGCTTATTTCTGAAGATGGGAAATTAATTATTTTTCACCTTCACTAAAGCTCCTAGATGACACACCTTTTAGATATATATTTGGTTACTGATCTGTAGATGGACAATTCAGGCTGACTAGAATAACAGTTAGTATAATTATTTTGAGATTCATTCATGTTGTTATATGTACCATTAGTTCTTTAGTACTGCTGAGTAGCATTTCATTGTATGGATATACCACAAATTTGTCTACATAACAAGTAATAAAGAAGAAACAAAACTTGACTTGAAATCTTTTTATCAAGGAATAATGGTGATTACCGTTTTAAAGTATATCTCTTGAGGTAATTTTCTATGCCTACATATCTGCTTATGAATATTTAGTACTCTCCCTCCAAACACAATTATATCATACATGGACTTTGTAATCTACTTTTTAATTTAACAAAATATAATGAAAACTTTTCCATTTAAATGAGTTTAGACCTTTTTTCATATTTTAAATATTTAAGAGATGCTTAATAATCATTATCAATTCATTACTATTATAAAAATGTCATGATGAAAATCTTTGTAAATATTGCAGAGTCTCAATATTATTGCCTTAATGTTAATTTTTGATTCCTTCTTATAGTAGTATATGTTAGGCTTTATTACATACCAAAAAATTAGAGTAAGTCTTATTGCTGGCCAACTGGGGAATCCAAGGCTAATGAAAATATTGAAGTGCCTATCACTATCTTATGTCTATTTTTACCAGTACAGGTTAAAGAAGAAAACAACAGGTGCTAACCCATTTGTACATGCACGTGAGCCCATACACATATTCACTCACCTGAAAAACCTTTATGAATAATTGAAAATTCAATTCCTTTACTTTTTCCATTTTTAGAAAAAAAAACATTTTAGGCTATTTAAATCTACTCCTAGTTAATCATAGCTAATGGAACATGACATGAGTGAAGGCTGGGACAAGTCCCTTGGGCAACAAGTTACAGATACATGGAACACAAAGAAACTAAGTCACTTCTCAGTCAGGGACAATTACACCAATACCTAAGAAAAATAGCATTAGAGTTGCTTAACAGTTGGAATCTAGTAAAGAATCATCAAAACTGCTGTACGCTAGGTTCATGCCTAAGGCAGATGACCTGGTTGACAAGCTTGCCCAAGCTAACTATATTTATGCTTCAGATCAGTGTAAGTGGAACTAGCAGCAGTTCTCCTTAACTAGTCATGTTACAATTGTTGACAGATTTTATGCCTGTTTTTCAGCTGTGTAACTATTCATCAGTGGGATGAAGTGAGAAGTTCACGTAAATTGATTAGAATATGGGCATCTTTCTTCTTTTGGAATTGTAAGGATATGTGAGCTTTCTTTTCTTTTTTGAATTTGCTGGTTGTTTCTCCAGTAAGTAAAACTTTCCAACAAGAGCCAATCTTTTTTATTTAAAAAGAAAAATTAAACTGCATAATGTATCTGTCAGTTCTGAGGATTGTGCTATGCGAGTTGTAAGCTACATATCTAGGTCACATACTTGTGTCAGGAAAAACAAGTTTCAGTCAAAATTTGGAGAGTCAAGTTCCATTAAAATATACTCAATAAAAATATAAACCCTTAACCAATAGTAAGGCCTTGAGGTTTAAAATTGTGACTATCAATTAAGTTTAGGTTTGACAATGATTAGGTAGCTTCTCATCTCTTGTAGAAAAGTATTTCAATCATTTGTGTTCCTGAGAGTAATTAGACTTTTGAATAATCTATAAAATTGCCTTACAAGCTGATTTTCAAAACCCTTAAAACACATGTCTGGTCATGATTTTGCTGTATTAGGATTTGGCTTTACTTCCTCATTTCTGAGGGAAATAATAATTCTATAGCTGTTGAAAGCAAAAATGATAGTCTCATCAGTTATATCAACTCACATATATAGAGAAGTTTGAAGTAGCTTGCATGATATGTGCCAGTAGTATCTATACCATATTTCTCTTTGGACAGGACTTGGATTAGCTTTTATGAAAAACAATCAAAATCCTGCTTACGTCTTATCACCAGATCCTCAACTTTTCTCTCACTTCTGGAGATAACTTTATGTTTAAGTTATGACCCCTTTCTCCTGAGAACCAGAAGTCACTACATCTATTATCCAATTGCTTCTACAATTTTTCTAGTCAGGTACTGTAAACTCAAGAAATACTTTAAGATCTGAGTGCTGCCCCCAAATATATAGGGTGTAGTCTTGCTATTTTCTTTTTATCCACTAGGTGACATAATAGATGCAGCCTTCCAGTATCTGTTAAGGTGTAGGTGTCTGTGTAACATATTTTATAATGTGATACTCTGAGTAATGTTTGCTAATGGAACTTCAAGTGCAAATATGCTGATGGAGCAATGGCTCATGAGGGATTATTCCTAACTGACCACTTCAGTGTTTATGCTTTGCATCTTGGAACTTGGATAGAAATATGATTGACCAAGAAAATACTAATTTTCATTTTGCTACACAATTTAACAGTGATTCAAATGAGAAAAAAATACAAGAAAAACACAATGGATATTGACTGAAAAATGAGTTTTTGCGAGTGACTAATCTGTTTTGCCGAATTTGATGATTGAAACATAAAAGCAAAAATGTGGAAAGACCAGCAAATGTTACCATAGATTTTATCAGGGTTTCCTTGGGGATGGGACTGAAATCACTCTGAATCTCTTGCTACTCATAAAGCTCATTCTTTAAAATCAGTGTAATGTGATTGCAGAAACACTTGTTACTCTTACTATCGCCTCTTATTTTTAATTAGAGCTCAATAAGGTTATGATTTAAAGCAATATAAAAAATTGTATTTTGAAATAACTGAAAATGCTCATGTGTCTTATTCTTGCTTAATTAGAAGAATTTCTTGAGTGGCAAACATAAAGTAAAAAATCATAGAGCACAACCCCAACACATTTTTATATTTTCTGCTAGTCTTTCTTTTCACTTTCCTTTTAGAATATGGCCAAGTTTAATATTTTATGACTTTTACATGCCAACCAAGTTACTTCTGAGTTTGACTCTGAATTATCCCAATATAGAGCAATATAAACCTATTTGTGGGGCACAATCTGATGGCACATTTACTTATTATCAGAAAGGGATGCTCTATGGCTAAATCTCCACGAATCCAGTGTCTGTTAAGCATTTCACCCTCCTGCTATCTTAGGAATGTTGCCTTTTATTTCCACCTGTGTTCTGAAACTTGCTTATAATCTGTGACATATAACTTCAGCTACATGGGTAGTAATATATTTTGGTCAGGCTTGAGACTATGGGTATTTACTTACTCTGGTTATTATGAATAAAAAGAAACTGCACGTAAAGCAGAATCCTAAAAAACAATAACAGCTAATATGTATTAAAGACTTAACTCTGTGTTACATCCGTTGTAAATATCTGAGAATATTCTCATTAGAAATTCCCTGAGGCATAGTTCCATGTGACTGTCATACTTTCCTCATCAATTCTTATACTTTTAAATATAATTGTTTCCAAATATAAATCTCCAACTTGGAGCTTTCCCCTGAACCCCAGATTTCTATGTTCATCTTCATACTTAGATATCCTAGATGCCTAATAGATGTCTTACAACTTATGTGTCCATAGAACTCTTGGTCTTTCCTCCAAAAGCAGTTCCTTCCCTGATTCTCCATCTCAGTTAGTAACAACTCCATTATTCCCCTGGCTCAGGTCAAAAATCTTGTTTCTTCTCTTTCTCTCACACACTAGCTCTAATCACCAATAAACCCTATAGACTGTATCTTCAAATTCCAGTGATTCTTCACCACTTCCTCTGCTATAATAATACTGCTCATGCTCCTCTCTCCTCCAGCTACTTGCCATACTACCCTAATCGGTCTTGTTATCCTCTTCCCTGTTAATACATCAGGTCACATGAAATCTCCTCAAAATGCTCACATATTAGTCCGTTTTCACACTGCTATGAAGATACTACCTGAGACTGGGTAATTTATAAACAAAAGAGGTTTAATTGACTCACGGTTCTGCATGGCTGGGGAGGCCTCAAGAAACTTACAATCATGGTGGAAGGCGAAGGAGAGGAAAGCACCTTCTTTCACAGCGGCAGGAGAGAGGGTGAGTGCAGGGAATCTTCCACTTTTAAGCCATCAGATCTCAAGAGAATTCACTCTTTATCACAAGAACAGCATGGGGGAAATCACCCTGATGATCCAATCACCTCCCACCAGGTCCCTCCCTGGAGACATGGGGGTTCCAATTTGAGATGAGATTTGGGTGGGGACGCAGAGCCGAACCATATCAGCCCAAATGCTTCCCACTTCACTAGGATTAAAATTCAAAGCCCTTAGAATGGTCTACAGGGTTTTATAAGATACTGCAAGATTCTGTAAGCCTATAAGGTACTGCACCATCAGTATACTCCCTCTAACATAGGTCTTTATCTGTCTCAGCTCTTCTCTTGCTGTGATTCTTCCTGAGTACTAATTCTAAGCATGCTTGCTTTCCTACTGTTTTTGAAACAAGCAAGGCATCAATAATATTTTGCCCCATGGTGATTCTCAGCCCTGGCTATCTCACCTCATTCAGAACTTTGCTCACCTGATTCAGAGAGAGAGTAATTTCTTGACTATCTGAATTGAAATGAAAACCTGACACTCCCTTCCCCATTGGTTTGGCATTCTCTATGCACTCTCCTTGGTTATTTTCTTGCTACAGTACTTATTAGCATCTAACATACTTTGTGTTTTACCTGCTTATTTAATGTATCGTCTATCCTCTACCATTAGAATGTTAAGTGCATGAGAACTGAGGTCTTTCTGTTTATTCACAACTACCGGAACGGTGTCCAGTGTTTTATAGACGTTTAGTAAATATTTGATGACTGGGATAATATAGAAACTTTACTCTGACTAATCTAGACTAAGGAGGCTAAAATTATCTTGTTTATTTTCTTATAATTTTTATTCCCCCCACCCCACAATATTATTGCTGAATAAGAGCAGGGATCTTCTTTTATGTTCTCTGATACATACCTAGAAAATGGAGAACACCTAGTGTGTGGCAGCTGCATGAATGACACATTCGGCTTCGTTAGTTATGAGACTCAAGGATCACAATAGTCATTTTCATATTTTTGAAATAATTTTTATTAACTAATGCCAATTTTAAGAGAACATATTTAATTGCCTGTGATTCAATTAGAGATTGGAGCACGTTGAAGACGGAGTTTACCTCTCCTATCCTGTTGCTAATCAGTAAGATTGAGGACTTAAAAGGCCTGAAGCTTTCTAGATCTTGCCTGCATTTTATTCTATAGAGAAGAGATACATACTGAGCAGACAAGTGTCAGTATCCAGGAGCTGTTGTTTTATGGAAAGTACTTTTTCTTTACACTGAATACCGTGGGTGGTAATGAGAAATTTATGCATGCATGTGGTGGCAGATACAGGCGTGGTCAAGTGGATGAGGAAGAAAGAGATGGGGGCTATTTAAAGATATGAACTTTGTCACTGGGAGGCAGATTCAGGTTATCTAATTCACTTTTCCACTCTTGTTGGTAGTACCATGAAAGGAACTGGATTTTCTTTCTTATTGTCAGTAAAGTATTTATCTAGAAGTCAGAGAAAAAACATTGACGTCATTTGGTAGTGTGTGTGTATATTTGCTCATTGTACTATACAAATGTCTCTTATTGATGCTTTTTTTATTTTTTAATTTATTATAATTCAGTTCCCTTGTTCATTTCCTATATTCCTTTGAAATATATTTATTTAATAATAACACATATCTAAATGATAAAGAACAAAACCTGGTATAAATTTTGTTTTTACATAAAATAAAATTGATGTAGTTCCAAAGTTTACAATGAAGAGCTAAAGCTTTTATCTTTAGGGGAATTTAAGGTGGTCACATATTTTTAATATATTTAATACTATAAACAATGACTTACAACTAAAAAACATTGATATGGAATTGTGCCTTAATTCAGAATGTGTGTCCTGGAACTTTTCAACCTGTTTTTCTTTCAGTTAACTAGATTAATTTCTTATTTTAAAACATCTCTATCATTCTCACATTAGAAGATTGATCAGAAAAAAATTGATTTATTAAAACAATGACAAGGAAATAGAACCTACTAATACAAGCAGTTATGTTGCATTTTTCACGTCTACAAGACTCCAGCAAACATTGCCTAAGATAGATGTGTGTGGAAAAGAATATCTATTTATTGTGATTACTACTATATATAACTTATATTTATATAAGAATATACATATATACATACACATATATGTATATCTATCTGTCTATATCTATCATCTGTCTATATTTTGTGGACTAATATGTTTACACCTTTAAGGATTCATTACAGTTCCCTAGAAGCAAACAGAGAAACAAATAATTAGAAATCAATTTTGAAATCTTCTAACTTCATACAAAATTCAAATGAGCAGAGGAAAAAGCAAATGCAGATTTGATAAATAAATTTTTTTTTTAAATAATAGGAGAACCAGTACTCCAGCTACCTAAATTTAAGTTAACTGTTGAAGTAAAGTGTACCAGGACATTCAAGGTGTATCTCATTCTTTGTGGGAAAGTATAATTAAATTTGAAAAAATAAAAATTTAAAAATTCAAGTAAAAAATTGACATGTGGAAATAACATTTTTTTGTAAGCTAAACTTTGAAAGTGGACATATTTTTAATACTTTATATTACAATTATTTCAAATTTTTTTATTATACTTTTCTGGTGGCTTTTAAGAGTTATAGTTTGCCCATTGTACTTCAAGTAAAATGTAGTTTTTATCAGTGCAATAAAGCATTTTCAAAGCAATTAATTTGCATTAATCCATTTGTATTTTTGATGCTGCTAGTTAAATCTTATTTGGCAGAATGTCAGCCAATTCACTGCAGTATTCATAATTTTCTTGGCACATGAGTTATAGATATGAGCTTACCTAAAATAAATGTATGGTTTCTCATGATAGCTGGGAAGTATCTCACTGAAAACCATGTTTACCAAGTAAGCTGTTATTTGAAATAACATTTCCTCGTTATCTCAGGATAACACTGTAAATTATATGTATTATTCAGAATACTAAACAAATATTTTCAGGAGCTCATCAAGAACCTGACTTACAGCTCTGAAATTGTCGCAGTGTTACTCCGAGAACAAATCTTGTTTGTGTATATATTATGAAATTAGACTACACCAAGCCCACAGGCAGATGCAATCATTCTTTCAACTGTACAATAAATCCTGCTGCTCTGAAAAGGTTGAAAGCCTATTTGCATTTGTCAGAGGTAATGAAATGCATCTTAATAGACTCAAATATGCAGCTTTAATAAGTATCAGCCAAATATAACCATTTGCTGGGTGTGATCAGGTGGGCTCCTAACATTAAGCTTTGTTTCTCTAGTTGGCTCTTGTTTAGTTTTCCTGTTTGCATAGCAGCAAATATGAAGCATTAGACTTGTGGGTGGATTGAGCTTCAAAATTATTATCGTGTAGAAATAAACAGGAATCGCTTGTTTAGTCGGCAAATAAATGCTTAAGAAAAAAAGCCTATATTATGCTAAGGTTTTTGGATCTACTGTTAGATTGATAAGTAAAAATGCCCTTTTTGACAAGTTTCTAATCTCAGGAACAACAACAACAACAACAACAAAATAAATGGAATATGTGTTCCAAGAAGGTTTGCATAATTACCTATAATTATGCAAAGTTCTTGACATACAACTCTACAGACAGACATCTGGCTTGGAAAGTTTTTCTTTAACGGAAGTTGATATTGGGAAATTTCTGTTTTCTTTTTTCTCAGATTTTCTAAAGAGTTTTAAAATTTCAGATAGATCCACTATATAGACAACACTTTTTTTATACCACAGTAGAACTAAAGGCAATTTCAGAATTAGTATCCTAGCATCACTCATACTATACCAACTGGAAATCTATATCCAAAAGAGAAGAGAGCCTACATCCACTCCAAAAATGCAGCTAGCATAAGGATTGACTTGGAAGCTCTGCATGCCTACTTCTTCTAAACAGTGCTTGAGCAGCCTGAACACAATGGTATAAATAAAAATAAACATCCTTCAGAATAACAAGAACATGTTCATCACACCTGGATTCATCCTCATCACAGCTGATGTGTACAGGAATGATTAGAAATCATATAGATACTGATGAGGAGTAAGAGGAAGTTATTTAAAATTCGGCTGCACCTTGTGCTCAAAATATCTCCATCAGCTTATAGTCACTCTGTAAACAATTTAGGAAACCATGTTTTTTATACTGAAAAAGCTTAATTTTATGAATATTTTAGATACATTTATCCAGATTGAAATTTTTTAAAATGCAAGCATAACATCTTCTTCTCTATTTCATAACAGGTGTAACTAAAAAAACAAAAAACCCCGAACACATGTTACTTAGAAAGTATAGATTTTCTCTATGAAGATAACTCTCTTGTTGGTTCATCATTGTTTTAGAACACTGTACTAATAATTAGGACATGAATCTGTTTTTTAATAATACAACTTGATCATATCTACCATATTCCAAACGTATAAAACCAAAAATCAGCAAAAAGAACCCAGCTCGCAAATACTTTGAAACCCATCCTTTATTGACGATGGATCAACATCATCATATGTTTGATGGTACAGTATGAAACACAAATATCTAAGTAAAGGCCGGTTATCTGGTAAGCTGTCGTCTCTTAGACACAAAGTTAATTTATATTTAGGCACCAAAATCATAACATTGACTTCACTCAAGTTTAAATATGTCCATTTAAACATCAATCTAAATGAGAATTACATCAGAATTATATATTATTGGTCAATAAATAATAAATGAATGAATGAGAATGATCTATGAGTTAATTGGCTAAACAATACAGGTTTGCAAATAATTTACATGTATACATAATACTGATTTCACTCCTATTTAATCATCAGTGTTTTTCATGTTTACTAGATAGATTTACTGTTTGATATACAGGTTCTTAAAAAGAAACTTTTTTTTCTATTTTTATTACAAGTACCTTTTAATATTCTTATGGCTGGCTATCTTCTGCTGCTGGTAGAAATGTGTCTGATCGTTGTGGTGTGTGCTATAAAATCCTTTTTGAGTGGAATGTTGGCTTCTATCAGTCTTTTCTTTAAGTGTCTATTCTATTTTTCTTTTTCTAATAAAAGGCCTAGCTGGGCTGATGATGTTGCTATTACATTGCTCTTTTCACCACCCTGTTTCTGACTTTTCCATTAGCACAGATACACCTTCTGTAACATTGCTGAGTAATAGGCCTGCTCCTCTATCTCACCCAGAATACTGCAATTTGTCTTTTTGTCTGTTGACCTTTGTATTTTGAACAGTGGAATAATATCTCCTGACTTTGTTTTCTCTGATATACACTGACTTCTAAGTTACTCTGCGACTCATGTTTCCATCTGCCTAAACATAGTTTTCATGTGTCTCCTCCTGAGTTGTATGGTTATTGGGTCAAACGTGTATTATTTTTCTAGTCTTGAAGACCATGTTATGGGATCTTTCAATAGCACCACTGATCAATTTGACTCAGGAAAAAAACTGCATCATGTTGTCTGCAGGCTTTCCTTTTCTCTCATTTAAACATTTTGAAATAAAATAACTCAGGAGTTCTCAAATTGTGTTCCAAAGATTACTCATTTCAAGTCATCATAACCATATAATAACATAGATCATATTAGTAGATACGATTGCATACATTTTTCTGTGTAGTTAAGCAATTTTGTGAAAGGCTACATTAAGCCAAATTAATCAGGTCATTTTAATGTAGAATTTCTCATTGTCTTCAAGATTTATTAAGTTTTTTGTGACCATATATGAACTTTTCCAGGAAGAGCACAGTGCACTTTGTGGAACATACTTTGAGAAGTGCTTTGGTAGTTTTTTTTACTCCTTGCTTTCACTCAGGATTAATACAGAGTGGACTTAAATACAGTCTGTTCTCCCCAGCTTGTTCCTCTATCGGATGATAAAAGAGGACATTCTAGCAATGAGACAAGATGAAACAGCAATTTCATTACATATAAACATTACATTCTATTTGGGAGCTTAGGTTTCATGTCTTCCTTCGTCAGCTACCACATCTTACTTTATATCTTTTCCTGTCTTGTTGTTTCCTTATATCAGTTGTGTGTACCTGTTCTTTAAAAATAGGCCATATGCATCTTTGAGAAGACCCTGAAATACACTTCCTTCTCTGTTCTGTGGCATTTCACAAGAGTAAAATAAACGTTAAAGTCAAAAGTGCAATAGTATTAAATATTAATTATATTTTAAATACTGATAATTAAGATTGAAACAAAATAATTATTGGGTTACACTTTTCTTTAATAAAAATTCTTTCTATTTCTTTCTTGCATTTTAAAAACTTTTCACATATTATCTAAATCCCTAGTGAGTGTTTAGGGAAGGTGATTGAGTGGTAGCTGTTAAAAATTTTGTAATGTTTGATTCTAGAAATGACCAAATAGAAGGTTTACTCTATTCCACAAAGATTATGAAACTAGACAAATTATATAAAGCATGTATTTTAGACATTGGACAACATTCCAAGACCGTACTGTGATTCTTAACGATAACTCAGAAAGTTAGCTTCACAGTCACTGCATTCTGCCTGGAGCCACTTTTCAAGCTGTGGTTTAAAAAGTGGAGCCTAAGTAGATGTCAGTAGTCTCTTTGGATGGAGAAAAGCACAGATCAGCTTGAGGCTTCCCAGGCAGCTGTATTTATCCGCACATGTTACCATAGAGAATAGTCCAGGAACTAGCACGGAGGTACCCTCCACCACTGAATTGTCATACATGTTTTAAAAACCTAAAAGTCTTGGAAGAGAACAACTACTGGTGGCTGTGAGAGGAGACAAGATTCTGGAAGTTGAATGATGATGGGAGATGCTGGAGATTTAAATGGGCAAGTAGAGAAGTCTCAATGAATATACTAATTATTCAGTTGAGACTCCAGAAAGACTACTGTGGGAAAGAGAGTTTCTGGGGTGCCAGTTGAGTTGGTCTGCCCTGTGTGAGACACCCATGGGGAGCCATGGGCGGCCTCTGAGGAGAAAAGTCTCCTTATTGCCTTCATGTCTTTATGCCCCCAGAGCGTAACCGCTCAGCGGCATTCCACAGGTTGCTGGGGGAGATAACACTCCCTTGAAGCAGGGAGTATAATCAAACATCTTGGCTCATCCTGAAACCCGCTCCCACCCATTTCAGTCCTGATAAGTTAATGATCTTAAGTAATTTAGACACACGCCTTTGCTCAAGGAAATTCACAGAAACCGCCACTGCTATACATCTTATCGAATGACTCACGAGTTCTCCTTCACTGATTAATCCTTTCCCTCATCCCTTCCTCCCCTTCCCATCTGCCCTAAGAACAAAGAGCTTGTAAACCAATAAATTGGGTGGAGCCCGAGAGCTCTGGGCCATGAGCAAGCCTCCGACTCTCCGGTCCCCTGGACCTGCCTTTTAAATGCTTCTTCTGTCTCTTTCTAACTCCTTTCTCTCCACTGGACTTGGGGTACCTGCTGGGTGGTGTGGGGCTGGTTTCCCCAACAACTACAGTTTAGGATTGTTCTTGGTCATGCTGTTGGCTGACCCTTTTAAGTTCCCTAGCTGGGGTCACAAAGGCAACGTCCTACCAGCATAGCCAATCACCTTCATGCTCCAAATGCACATGCCAATTATACAGGCTGACAAAATAACAGCAAACTACCTACCAACGAACCAATGAATCAACCAACAAACCGGAATAATAGCTATGGAAGCTCTGATATAAATAGCAAACCCAGGAGCATTTGGTTCTCCCCCTTCGAAGAGCAGGATTCCTGGCCCCATCCTCAGTTTTTATTTCTGTTTATCCCTTCCTTGACACTTCTAAATCCAGTCTAGATTTTCCTTCGGCCTATTGTCTAACTTGCTAGTCTTTCCATTCCACAGGAAAACACCTCTAGAAAGGCTCCCCACTTCCATTTTTGCCCCATAGGCATGGTCCCTGGGGCCTCTAGCATGGGTTTAGCTCTATAATATTCTTAGGTACCTTTCAGGCTCCTGCCTTATTGGAGCAGCCACAGTCCACAGCATGTCTTGCTTCTGAAATTTTAGCTGGCCCATCGGCAACCATAATCACAGCAAACATAGCTGTTCACATTTACATTGGTGGGTTCTTCTAAGGAATTGTAGAGCCAGGCTTCCTTCTCATTGACTCTTGGAAGCCTTAACAACACATCCAGTGCTCTTTGGATTTTGACTCCTAATTATCTTGTGCCCTGATCTATTCGAGGTCCTGATAGGCCATGACCACCTAGTTGGTGGTCCTCCAAATGATGTGCTGCTGCTCCCAGGAGGAAAAATTTCCTCCTGTCATGATGGCCTAGGTAATTGTGTTCTTTTCAAAATATCATAGCAGTAGAGTAAGTGGAATATTTTAATTGCGGTCATCCATAATTTGCAAAGGGAAGCAGACACACACCACTGGTGCCTCGCCATACCGTATACTTGTAACGAAAAGTTTATTACATGAATTTACAAGCAAAGCAGCCTTACAGCACAGGTAAGCACATGTCAAGGAGTTGCAGAGAGAGATGATGCTCTCATTCAGCTTTGCATAGTTGTATGAAATTGTACACAAGAAACAGTTGATTAGATATGTGAGAATAAGAGTTTCCTGGCACTGTAAGAATGAGAAAACCTCTAGAGCTCAGCAGGTTGTGTAAGAAACCTTGTGTGAGGTTTCTTTGAGATCACTGAGCTCATTCAAAACTACAATGTTTCTAAAAGGGGGGTGCGTAATGAGCCTCCAGAACCCTTTGCTGGCCTTGGCTCAGCCTTCTACCAACTGCCAATTCCTTCAGACTTCTTGAGAGAGAAATATAAACTCATTGTCTCCACTTTTAAATGTCTTATGTATTTTTAAACTCTCTCTATTCTGGCTTGTGTATCAAAACTTCTTAGGTTAAAGACTGGAAATAGCTCCCTTGTTTATAAATCCAAAGCACTTTCAATTTTCCTTATTTTGTTTGCCCTTTCTCGGAAATTGGTCCATTTTCTCTTTTTCAAAGTTCATTGTTTCTTTGGTTTTTAATTTTCTTTTAATGTATATTTTTGTGGGCACATGGTAGGTGCATATATTTATTGGGTACATAAGGTGTTTTGATACAGGCATGCAATCCTTTGGCTTCCATGATCTAAGTCTCTCTTTCTCTCAATCTCTCCTCTCTCTCAGTTATTCCCCTATATTCTCAGTATGCCTTTTAGTCTCAATTTCTTTTCTTATATACTTCTCTTTGTTTGTATTTTGGAATACTGGTATTCATTAAAGTCCCAAGAGATAGATCTCTTCTCTTCCTTCTCTTTTAAGTGATCACATTTACTCTGATGGATTAATAACTCTCTATATGCGTGTAAATCTCACACCTGTACATCCATGCCCAGCCTATCTCATAGTCTCCAGACACATAACTACCTATCTCATGTGTCTAAAACTTGGATGCACCATTTTTTTCTTCTACATTAAACTTGTAACTTTCTTGGTGTTCTTTTGCCCTGCAATTTGCTCTTCTACTTAGTGACAAAAATAAAATTCTTGTCAATAATATTTGTTTTCTCCCTCTCTGCCACGTGAAATGATTCCTAAGTCCTATTGATTTCAATTCCTCCATATATTTCAAGTCTGTCACTTCTTCTGCACCTGCCTGAATCAGGTTCTCATTAATATCTTGTTTATGGAAAATAACCTTATAATGGAATTCCCTGATTTCAGAATTATTCCCTTCTAAACCATTTTCAGTGGTTTAGCTGGAAAGATTATTTTACAAATAAAAATATTCTTGTTTAAAATCTTTGAATGTTTCCTCAGTGGTCTGCAGAAAACTGTATACATTTCCAAGCATGACCCTGATACTTCATGACACAGATCCAGCCTGTCTCTCCATGCTGCTTCTGTTGCTATGCCTTAATATTTGTTCTCCAACAACATTTCAACCTCTGATTTATATCATCACACACACACACACACACACACACACACACACACACACTCCCTCATGTTCTGTGCAAAAGACTATAAACAGCTCCATGTGCCTAGAAAGGCTTCCTTCTGCCCTGTCCCTTTGGCTGGGTTACCTCTTACATGTTTTCCAACATTCAGTTCGTGTTTTACCTTCTCTGGAATGCCTTTCTCTTTTTCCCTATGTTAAAATTTATTTATTTATTTATTCATTTTTCTATTTTTAAAGATTGTCTTGGTTACATAGTAGGTGTACATATTTGTGGGATACACAAGATGCTTTGATACAAGCATGCAATGTGAAATAATCGCAGGATGAAGAATGGGTTGTGTCCGCAAGTATTTATATTTTGTGTTAAAAACAATCCAATTACATCCTTTCAGTTATTTTAAAATGTACAATTAAGTTATTATTGAATAGAATTCACCCTATTCTGCTATCAAATAGTAGATCTTATTCATTCTTTCTATTTTTTGTACCAATTAACCATCCCCACCTCCCCTCAGGCTCCCACTATCCTTCTCAGCCTCTGTTAACCACCCTACTCTCTATGTTCATGAGTTCACTTGTTTTGAGTTTTAGATGTAACAAACAAGTGAGAACATGCAATGCTTGTCTTTCTGTGCCTGGCTTATTTCACTTAACATAATGATTTCTAGTTCCATCCATGTTGTTGTAAATGACAGGAATGCCTTTCTTTCTCTCTCTCTCTTTCTTTGCTTCTTTCTTTCCTTCTCTCTCTGTTTTTTCTTTTTATTTTTTTTTAACGGAGTCTCACTCTGTTACCAGGCTGGAGTGCAGTGGCCCCATCTCAGGTCGCTGCAACTTCCGCCTCCCAGGTTCAAGCAATTCTCCTGCCTCTTCCTCCCAAGTAGCTGGGATTACAGGCATGTGTCACCACACCCAAGTAATTTTGTATTTTTAGTAGAGACGGGGTTTCTCCATGTTGGTCAGGCTGGTCTTGAACTCCTGACCTCATGTGACCCACCTGCCTCGGCCGCCCAAAGTGCTGAGATGACAGGCGTGAGCCACCGCGCCTGGCCTTGAATGCCTTTCTTTTGACATCACATATACCATATGCTGTATTAAATGAACTGAAATTTTTGGCTTAGTTTCCTTGTACATAAATGGGAGTGTCAGTGTACTAATGAGAATATATTAATAGATAATTCTAAGGTATGTGCCTTGAGTAAATAACTTTACCTACTTTTAATGAGCTTTTCACATGCTACAAATAGTAGTAAATTTTATATGGGAATTCAATTTTAAAAACTTTGCTTGTTAGTAAAAAGATCAACACATAGGCCAAGGGTGAAAGTTTAGCTTAAATAATTTTTCATGAGATAATATTATGTACTCCATCCAAGTTTTGTCAGAATCTGGCAGAATCAAGGGTAAAATTTATGTATTTCTTTTGTAATTAGTTACCTTTTGCTATTAAAATTATTCTAAATTTGCATATTTCTCTTTCTAATTTCATATATCTCCCATCACAATTGCAATTATTTTGTGTTCTCAGGATTTATCCTGTTATTATGTTTATCATTCTGCTATTTTGTATATCCTATTTCTTGGGTCTCACATCTCTAGGGCAGCCTCGTAATTTCTATTATTTGTATATAACAAAAGTGGGTTTTTAATGACCTCTCATTTTGAGGTTTCTAATAATGCCAAAGGAGTGTGTTATTTTTACCTTTCTAGGAAAAACTGTGTTGTAATGTGTTGATCTTTTTTGAAATTATGTCTTTTGCAGTAACATGGGTGGAACTGGAAGCCATTATCATAAGTGAAATAACTCAGAAAGTCAAATACTGGATGCTCTCATTTATAGGTAGGAGCTAAGTAATGTGTACGCATGAACATAAAGAGTGCAATAAAAGATATTGGAGACTCAGAAGGGTGGGAGGTTGAGAAGGATGTGAGGAATGAAGAATTACCTAATAGGTAAAATGTACCTTATTGGGGTGATTGTTTACACTAAAAGCCCAGACTTCAACACTACACAGTATGTCGTTGTAACAAAAGTGCACTGTATCTCCTAAATCTATAAAAATAGTAGTGAATCTTGCAGGTAGTCTCATTGCTTATATAGCTATTAACCATAACATCTAAGTCTTTGTTTTTGCACAGGGAAAATATGGAACTCTAATTTCAGGTGAAGGGATTTCAGCTGGTTAGTAACTCAGTGACCCACTCAGAACAGAGAACACCCTCTCCTCTCCCTCCTGACAAACCAAAGGAGGTGACTCTATATGAGGGATATATTTGACTTGGCTTCTCCTAGAAAGAGATGTTGACATTATCTGCAAGCGATTGTGTTCTTTTGCTTTTAAGTCTCATTTACTATTTTCTCTTCGTTCTTTCTTCCTTGTCATAAGGCTTGACTCCTGAATCACATTCCCCATGTTCATTGCTTGGTAAAAACAATAGATCTCATCAGGATTGTGTTTCAACAGGTAGGTGTTCCTACTTATTTTATTTTCTCTCATAAGTCAAATGGAAAGAAATAGTTTCTTATTGTTAAAAATGCAACATTTTGTGATAACAAAGTTGAAAGGAATTTTAGTAACTGCAAATGGCTTCCAGTTACCTAAGGATCTCTATAGAATTAAAGTAACGATTCTAATACCTCTGTTTGTGTGCGCACCTGTGTGTGCACCTACACATGTATATTGTCATGTTTTGTTTCTAGAAAGTGTTATGTTAATAAATTAACATCCCCAATCTGGCTCATTTTACCTATGAATAAATAGGTCAGTTTATGGCATACTGGAGTATAGATCCACGTCTCTGTTCTCCTAGCCCAACATGTCTTCTGCCACACTACGTTGTCTCTGATAGCTGTATCCTTTGCAAGAAGGTCCAACCTACATTTATGTGATATCAATTATCCTAGCAGCTTCTCTGCAATGAGCAGCCTGGTGTCTGTTCCTTGACAATATGTTGAGTGGTATTTGCCAGAAAGAAGCTTTATCAGAAAAAAAAAGGCAAGGGATGTGCTAATTCACCAGTTACCATAATCCACATTCCCATAATGTACCTCAAGGACATTGTCCCATATTTTTATCTAGAAACCTTTGGCACATGTATCAACTCTGGGTCAATGTACCTGCTCCACGGACATCCCTGCATCAACTTGGATTGCACAAAGGTACAATTAGCCTACAGGCTGCATGTATTCTAATTTTGAATTATGAATCTCAAATGGAGCTTATTTTGCCAGATTTGACTCTGTGCTCAGATTCTGGCTTGACAGTTTCTAGGAACCTGCATGGTTTCCATTACAGCGAATGAATATTATATGAGATTTGAGGAATTTCTGCGTATAATCTGGACAAAATTGAGGTTTCAGACCTCCATATGGGTGAGCCTTTTGGTGAGCCAGGTTCTACTGAAGCAAGGGTATCTTCTATTCGAGCCTTCAAATTTAGGATTTAGGGTCATAACTTAATGCTTGTCACTGAACTAAAGGCATTGTCTCTGATTCATGGTCACCAGTGTAAAATTCCAAGAGGTTTTCTTTCAAGCTGTCTGAATTGAGGTTGATGACACTGTGCATATCCAGCTGTTGATGGATCTTTCCAGTCACTTCCCAGTATACTCCTATTAAGCACTGCTGGTGCTTAGAAAACTTAATATTATTAAGGATAAAAACTTCGAGGGTTCACCTTACTCAAACACAGTTGAAAGAATGACTTTCCTGAGGTTTGATGCTGTTCTTTATTAATGGGGGTTATATTTGTATTAACCATTTACATTCATTCATTTCCTGTGGTTTTCTGGAACATGAACTATTTTATAAATTAAATACTAGATTTCAAGACTAATTTGATCAATATGTATATTTCCTTCTCCCTGAACAAACTCTCCCTCCCTTCCTCCTTTCCTCCTTTCTTCCCTTTTTTCTTCCTTAATTCCTTCTTTCCTTCCCTTTTTCCTTCCTTTCTTCCCTTTTTCCTTCCTTCCTTACTTCCTTTTCCTTCCTTCCTTTCTTCCTTTTAAGGGGTTTTGCCATCAGTTTGTATTTCTTTCAAAGGATTAGCTGTGATACCTGCACATAATTCTGCCAGAGCCTGAGCCAACCTTGAGTGTTTTCAAGTGAATGTGTTTTGTTGTTACAAATCAAATAATCATAAGCCTTTGTCTTATTGAGTGCAATTTATGCAATCTGTTTTAATAAATGACAGGGATTATATGGTCAAATGAACTCTTTTTGATCCTTAACCCTTAGCTTAGCCTTCTTTATAACTAGAGATTTGAGATACTACATCTTAAGCAGTGAAATTAGTCCTTCACTATAATTCCATTGAAGTTACAAAATGAAACAAAACTTGAGTTTAAAATTAATAAATAACTCCAACTATGTATGGTGGGACTGGAAATAGGGAAGGAATGAGGTTGTGCCTATGGTGTTTATGTGGTAAAAAGAGCATACATATTTTTAAATTTTAAAAATGTAGGTTTGAATTTCAATCAGGATAATCTTTGAGAGTTGATACACCTTTTAGAGCTTTAAATTCCTTGTCAGAAAAAATGAATTTGACAATCCCTATATATTAGAGTTACTTTAAAGATTTACTAATGTATGTTGCATAGTGCCTTTAGAGATAAATAATGAATACTAGCTTCCATCTCTTTCCTTTCCCTCAAAATTTCTTATTTTACATAAGACATGCATTTACTCACACTACTAAAACATAAATCCATGAGATAATACTGCCTAGGCAAGGTAGGTTTTATAGATTGACTTAGACCTATATCACAACTAAAGAGACATTTGGAAAGCCAAGATTTTATTTTCTGAGAATAAATATGTTTTATTACCAATTGCAGCAGGATTGCTCCAGCCAGCAGGCTCTCATCTGAGTTCCTACGGCACACTTCTGGATAGACTACAAGAATTTAAGTTCACATTGCGCCACTTTCTAGCATATGATCTTAAAAAGGTAACTTATCCTTTCTCTGCCTCAGTTTTCTTACTGTAAAATATCATTTAATGACAGTAACTTTCTCAGTAGAGTTAGTATGAGGATAAAATGTGCCTAGATCTTTGAAAATGGTAAAAAGGTGATTTGTTATATTTTGTATTATGGTAATATCAACTTGGCCATGTGTCTGTTCTTCCAATAGATGCAGATAGATGTCCTCCTGTTTTGGCCCACTCTACATCAGCAGTCTTGCTGAATATGTGAAGTAGTGAGTAGCAGAGGGGTGTTTAGGCCAGTTCATGGCCCTTCCCTTGAGATTTCATACTTCAGAAAACAAGTAACAATACAAGAAGGGGTGCTACTGACATATTAGATTTTTTTTTTTATTTTGAGGATCAATGATAAATAAACAAGAAGGTATCTCATCCATGATATCTACATTCCCTCTTTCTACAATTTCCATCTTTTGTTAGTTTGCTCTAGGACATCTATTGACAGGAGCAATGGCTGACATGACTAATGTTAGCATAAATTGCAGGGTCAGAGAAGTAAGGCAGTCCCTCACTTTCCCTACATATGATTAAAAAGTAACCATGCAAGAATGGGATGATTACAACTTGCCTAATGATTATGTTCAGTCCCCGGTGGTCTTTCTATACTAATCATTAGTATACCAGGAAATGTGACTAGTAGAATGTCAAAATACAGTTAAACTTTTTGTGCCATTTCCAGTATAAATACACAAGCAATATAAAGTTTACAATGGTGAAGAGGGAGGATTTTATCTTTCATCAGCAGCCAGGGATTTAGAAGAGTGATGTGTGAAAGGTAAAAAGAGTAAAAAGTAAATTCTCCTTTATCAATAACTGAAATTAAGCCTATATGTAAAGAGAAGATACCTATGTAAAAATATAAGTACGTGGACACATATAGAAACACACACATATCTGAATATGTTTTTAACTGATAACAGGGTGGGTTTTGGCAGACAGTACTTCAGATGTTACTGATTAGAAGTAATGAGGCTGAAGCTAGTAAAAATTTAAGTGACTCCTAAAGTTTATATAACCTGTTAGTGGCAGACCAGCTTTTAAAATTCACTCCTTGATTCCATTAAGTCCTAGAGCTTAGTCCATTAAGCCATGCTACCTCCATTTAAAACCTATTACCAGATCTTTTCCATGCTTAAGCATTCAGTGTTTGAAGTAACTAAATGCAACACAACTGAAGTGGCATATTCTTGGATAGATGCTCACATATTTGCATATAGATCTCTACTCTTTTATTTGCCATAAGTTTTAAGCTTATAAATTAATAATGGTCCTATATAGCTAAGGATTTCTTTTTATGTTGTTAAATGCTTTCTTCCATGATTATTTCCAGAGTGGCTGATGTTAATTTTGCAGCCTGTGTAGGCTGAACTGATATCTCTTAAATCACAGTGCTTGATAAAGGGAGGAGGTTAATAAGGCATGGGTCATTACAATTGTAGACCCATTCTAATTTATACTAATGACTAATGGGACTCATAGCAAATAAGAGTCTGTGAATTGGAAAGTGAAATGGCTTGGTTAAAAACAATGAGTTTTATGTGTTTTGGAACCACACAAAGAGAATGATAATTTTGGTGTCATCTATTCCTGATAGAGAAACTGTCAATACAGAAAACAGAGGATTGCTTGTGAATAGCTTTTGTGAATAAAGATATTCACAGACTCATAATAAATCAGGTTCAATTGCGGTGAACTCTGCAAGAGTATGGCTGTGGTCTTTATCTTACAGTTTTGATGAAATATTTTCTGAAATAAAGGATAATCAGGTGGGGTATTTTTGTTTTATGGAAAATGTTAGTTTTTGTCATTATAGGATTTGACCTATAGATGAAGTACTGTTTAGTTACATTTTTTTGTGAATCAGCCCATATATATTCTTATTAGGGTTTCTCTTTTATTAAGAAATATCGGGAACAGCAGAAGCCACGTAATTAAAGGGAGCCTAAGGTTTCAAAGCACCTATTGAGAATTAACCTTCCCCCACAAGCCCCAGGGAAAAGAACTATTGTCCCTTAGAACCATTTAGAAAGAGGTGGGGAAAATCCAAGCTTCTGTAACCCCAAAACAAGTGGATTTACTCTGTTAACTTTTTCTGACTCCAGGAGCTTTTGATATTATCCACTGATGCTAGCTTGTAACTCTGTGTGTGTGTGTGTGTGTGTGTGTGTGTGTATACATGCACATGAATATGTGTTTGTGTGTTGGGGGTTGGATACACACAAGGCAGATCTTGAGAAATTAATTTTGTGCTCGTCACTAAAATAAGCCTATCTTATGGCCACATAACATACAACACACTTAAAGAGGATGCTTTGGCGGGGCACGGTGGCTCACGCCTGTAATCCCAGCACTGTAGGAGGCCGAGGTGGGCAGATTACCTGAGGTCCAGAGTTGGAGACCAACCTGGTCAACATGAGGAAACCCTGTCTCTACTAAAACTACAAAAATTAGCTGGGCGTGGTGGTGCGTGACTGTAGTCCTGGCTACTCGGGAGGCTGAGGCAGGAGAATCATTTGAACCTGGGAGGCGGAGGTTGCAGTGAGCCGAGATCATGCCAGTGCACTCCAACCTCCGCAACAGAGTGAGACTCCATCTCAAACAAAAAAACGAACAAACAGAAAGCAGATGCTTTAGTTCTAACATTAGCAACGCTGAATAAGTGCAAAAAGAATGGAGAGAAAACACACTTTTAGGTGTGGAGTGATAATCGTTTCTCAGTGTCCTCACAGTGTTAGATTGGTTTTTGTGAGGCTGTGCTGAGAAGCTCTTGTAGTCTCTAATTACAGCATTTATTATCAGTCTTGGCTTAGTACAGAGGTACCAAAATTATGTTGCTTTGGTGTTAATTCCAGGTCTGTGATACCATCTCTGGACAGTTTGTGCAGACTATTTAGGAGAGAAGGACTGGGGTCCTGGGTGGGTAGTGTGGGCAGCTGTGTATTATTTAACCCTAAAAGCATCCCTTCTGTCATAGACGGAAGAAAAAGATCCACGGTGGGAAAATTCAGAACGATAAACCGCAGTGTTGAGAAGTGAGTCCTTTCGAAGAGGTGGACTGAATGAAGCCTTTTCTAAAGAATAAGTCATCCGTTCTTGGGGGAGCAAAACAATGACTAATTAATGAAGAGCTGAGCGTGTGTGTACCTATAGGTGGAGATGTAGGTGCACATACAGAGAGGGACAGAGAGAGGGGAAAGTGAGCACAGGATCCTACCATGTGTGCAGCGTCAGTTTTGCCTGAGAAATCATGCCCATTGTGTTGAGAGGGATGCAGGATAACTTGGGACTAAATATGGATAAGCTGGGTATATAGTTCTTAGGATATCAAGTAGATAGCTCCTCTGACCCACTATTGTGGAGGGTATTTAGACAAAAAGTAACATTCAATTGAAAATATTTCCCACACAAGCTGACTGTCTGAAGACGATTTATACCAAAACACAAAACAAAACAAAATAAAACAACCCCCCAGTCCTTGCCTAGAATCACATTGCTTGACTTGGAACTAGATATTCAAATCTTAGCAGTATCAAGTAGGGATGAACCTCTGAAAATGTCACACCTGGGTAGTTACCAGTGGTGAAAATCTCTCAAGACATGATTTGATTTGAAAAGTAGAAATATCTTTCCCCTCACCTCCTCATCCTCTTCTTCCTCCTAATCTTCTTCTTTAAATAGGTTCTTTTGTTAGATTTCTTTTTATCAAAATATAAATATTGAGAATTTATCTCTTGGTAATCATATTACTTTATGAAGACTAAAACATCTGGTACAACTGCCCTTTACCTTCCAGAGGAATCTCAACTAGAAAGCTTTGATTTACCAGTTATTTCTTAATTCAAAATAATTCACTACATGATGTAAAATTGCAAGGAGCACGTTATAAAAGTATCTTTCCTACACCATCTACCAATTCCTTTCTTCACAGAAATACATTTTATAGCAGTTTTCTCATAAGTACATATATGTATTTGTCTCTTTTTAAAATTTTACTTTTCTCACTAGAAATATATGTCAATGAATGTAACATTTGAACACTTAAAAGACATATAATCATTATAAAAGATAGAGAGATATCCTTAAGCTTACTTCAAACTCCATCACCCCTACTTGCCCTGGGGACCCTTTGGGTACTTATTTTAAATATTTCTAGGTTCTTAGAGTGGATTTTTATGCCTTGAAATTAACACATTGATAGCTCCAGTAATTTATTTATCAACCTCAAGAATGTTCTTTTTAACCTGTCTTTCTCCTATCACTGGTAATATTACCATTTGTATGTTGTCTTTGTTTTTAGCATATATATTCTTTCACTGTTACCATAGTTGTTTAGCCTTAGTTCTATAATTTAAAGCTTTTTAAGGCTCATCATCACATTTTTATTATTTTTAAAGTATTTTTAATTTTTTTAACTTTTAATTTCAGAAGGTACAAGTGCAGGTTTATTACCAATAATGAGTTCTGAAATTGAGGCAGTAATAAGTAGCCGACCATGCAAAAATAGCCCAGGACCAGATGAATTCACAGCTAAATTCTACCAGATTTACGAAGAAGTGCTGGTACAACTCCTACTGAAATTATTCCAGAGAATTGAGGAGGAGAAACTCTTTCCTAACACATTCTATGAGGCAAGCATCATCCTGATGCCAAAACCTGGCAGAGATTCAACAACAACATAAAAAACTTCAGGCCAATATCTTTGATGAACATCGATGCAAAAATCCTCAACAAAATACTAGCAAACTGAATCCAGCAGCACATCAAAAAGCTTATCCACCATGGTCAAGTTGGTTTCATACACAGGATGCAAGGTTCGTTCAACATACACAAATCAAATGTAATTCATCACATAAACAGAACTAAGACAAAAACCACATGATTATCTCAACAGATGCAGAAAAGGCTTTCAATAAAATTTGACATCCATTCATGTTAAAAATATCTCAGTAAAATAGGTATTGAAGGAACATACCTGATACTTTTAATAACTTCAAGATGGCAAAGGTGATGCCCTCGGGTGGCTAATTTCAAGCTGGAGTGATGGAATAGTCGTATACCCAACTCCCTCTCTGCCAAATGAGAGAAGAAGAGGAAGAGCTGCAATCATTTTTGATGCTCCAAAGCATTTGGCTAAAAGGACATTCATTCTTGTGGTAGTAATCCTAGTCTCATCCCCTTCCTCTGTCCCTGCTGCTACCCTGCCTAGGCCTGATATATACCTACCTAAAATAAAGTAAGGCAGCCTTTGTTGAATAATGTATTCTATCATTTAAACGAGCTTCTGAGGTAGCTATGTCGCCTGTTGACTCATTCTGAGTCTGTAATCAAGCTTCCTATCCCTCCCTGCACAACCCCTCAAAACGCACTCTACGTGTGATGAGACCTTGGCCAAATCACCTCTCAGGGTCTTATTTCTTATATGTAAAATGAGAAGATTGAAGACAGATATTCTGAATTTCTTTCTTTCCTAACTTTTTTTTTTTAATCCTAGGAGAATTTACTTGGGATTTTCATGTAGAATCTCTTATCTATCAATGTGGGAGTGTAGATCTGCCTAGAAACATTAAACTGATTCAACAACATGAAATGTATAGATAATTTATTTCAGTTCTACAAAGCCTATATTCACAGACGCCTGAATACTGTGTGGCTTGTGTGTGTGTGTGTGTGTGTGTGTGTGTGTGTGTGTGTATAGGTATATTCAATTGACTATGCTGGCTTGTGATGGTCCAGGACCGAGAAAATAAGTTTAAATAGAAAACACCAGTGGACATGTGAGTGAGGGAAATCAGGTGTGGATTTCCATGCAAAAACTGCCTATTTCTCTCTCTTTCTCTCTCTCTCTCTTTACTCTCAGGAACAGTCATTTAATTCAGTACTATATCTGCTTTGAGCTTCTGTCAACCTCTCATCTAATTTCATATACAGGGAAGAGAAAGAAACATTTTTAGGGCAAATAGATCAGAGACTATGTACAACACTAAAGGAAAGTCTAAAGTGAGGTTTAACCATGTGAAAGCACTAATATCCTGTATATATCCCCCTGTCATATATCAACACATCTCTTAGAGTTTGAAATCCCTTCTCTGGTCTTCACCTTACTCCCAAACTCTTTCCCAGTTTCCATCTAGAACCAGATTTATATAAACAGGATTAAAATGTGATTATAAATGACAAAGGTGCAACATGCAGAGGCCGCTTACTAAAGAATATTTGAGAAGGGAGAGAAGAGAAGTGACAAGGGAGACAGTTTTCTCCAGTGACCACGGGTTGGGTGGACATATGCATACCTCCAGAATCTAGAATGCCTTTTCTATGAGTTTTAAGAAAAGTGAATAAGAATAGAGGATCTTCTGGGCCAGGCGAGGTGGCTCACGCCTGTAATCCCAGCACTTTGGGAGGCCGAGGCAGGCAGATCACGAGGTCAGGAGATCGAGACCATCCTGGCTAACACGGTGAAACCCTGTCTCTACTAAAAAAAATACAAAAAATTAGCCGAGTGTGGTGGCGGGCACCTGTAGTCCCAGCTGCTCGGGAGGCTGAAGCAGGAGAATGGCGTGAACCCGGGAGGCGGAGCTTGCAGTGAGCTGAGATCGCGCCACTGCACTCCAGCCTGGGCGACAGAGCGAGACTCCGTCTCAAAAAAAAAAAAAAAAAAAAAAAAAAAAAAAAAAAAAGAATAGAGGATCTTCTGATGTACTTCTTTGTCTTTGGTTATTTATTGGTCAGAATATTGACTCACATGCAGTGCTATGTAAAGGATGGCTTAGTACATACTTTTGTTTAGCACATTGTAGACTTGCTGAGAGAAAGTTTTTGTTACAGACTGAACGGTGTCTGTATTCTCTACTTGAGCTTACATGGAAATTATATTAAGAAAAAGCAAAAATAACCGAAAAGGACATGTTTTAGATATTTCTAAAAATAAAAATTATACAAATGCTAAGAACAGTATTATAACTAGCATATTAAAAGTATTAGATATTGTCCATCTGATATTCTGTAAAAAAATTGTTACTGTTTATATTTTTAAAATGTATTATTCCTACAAACATTTTATTGTAAAATATTACAATCCTGAACAAAACATCTCATGGGATTTTATGAAATCCCAGTTGTTTTGAAGGTAAATGACAGTTTAAGTGGAATTATCAAGGTGACTTCCACTATTGCTGTTATTTTTGTCTGCAGTAACTAATGACAACTTTTCCCACAGCCTGAACATAAATTAAATGAAAGCAATGCCACTGACTTCTAGTAATAAATAGAAAGGAGACAGTAATGGGGACTCCCTACTGTTTTTCTTTGCTAGTGTGTCCTAGGAATGAAGAAGAAAGAATATGTAGTTCATCACTCAAATTTTTATGAAATGTACTGATTCTCACACCACCCTGAAGATAGAGCATTGGTATATTTAAAAAATGAGCTATCCTCACATATAATGTGACAATTGACAACATAAAACTTAAGGGAAAAAATCTGCATTTTTATACAACTTAGATTCTGGTGAAAGGATATCAGCTTTAAAACTTCAATGAATGAAATATATCTTCCTAAAATAATCATCAATTTCATCTATATTTGAATTTTGAAGGCTAATTCTTTAGTTCGGTTTAAAATATGTGAAGGTGAGGCAATATATCAGTTTAGTCAGGTGGTGAAGATGTCAGACTTTGAATGTGGAATCAGAGGCAATTGTTCTGATTCCATTTAATAGCTTTGTGCCCTTGGAGAAATCAGTCTCAGTTTTCTAAAATACCGGATGAGAATGATAAGCCTGATCCCTCTGGTTTGTTCAGAGGTTGTTGTGGCCATCTTATTTGGACCATCTGCTTAATGGTATGGCCTAAACCATTTTGTATGTCTGCCCCTTAGTGCACCATCCCTCAGCCACGATTCACTGGACTAAGGTAAGCCACTGACCCTAGCTAAGCCAATTGGGCTTCTATTATTGGATAGCTGGAATTGAGGGTGAAAGAGTGACGGATAGTTTTGCTGTCTCCAAATACTTATACCTGGACTTACAGAACCCCAAACACAACCCCAAACCCACCATATGGAGCAGAGAAAAAGAAGACAATAAGATTTAAGGAGAAACAGAATAATTCATCAAACTTAGAGAGATGAGGCATGAGTGAGAGTTCAGATAGTTTTCCATGCCTTTCTGATGCTTAGAAATCCCACTGTCCTTGGGTTTCACGTGAAACTTCTGTATAGTAATCTCTTTCTGGCCAACATCAGCTTGAATCGGATTCTTTGTTTGCAACCTGATATGGTTTGGCCGTGTCCCCCCGCAAATCTCATCTTGAATTATAATTCCCATAATCTCCACGTGCTATGGGAGGGACCTGGTGGGAGGTAACTGAATCATGGGGTCAGTTACCTCCATGCTGTTCTCATGATAGGAGTGAGTTTTCACGAGATCTGATGGTTTTATAAGGGGCTTTTCCTGTTTTGCTCAGTACTTCTCCTTGCTGCTGCCATGTGAAGAAGGACATGTTTGCTTCCACTTCTGCCATGATTGTAAATTTCCTGAGGCCTCCTCAGTCATGTGGAACTATGAGTCAGTTAAAACTCTTTCCTTTATAATTTACCCAGTTTCGAGTATGTCTAATAAGCAGCATGAGACTGGACTAACGTACAACCCAAGAAGCCTTGACTAATAATAGATGAAGTGAGAATGTTCACGGATACAATTTTTAAAAACTATAGAGCAGCTTAGGAGGGTTGTCACAGAATTCCAGCAAGTATAGAAAAAAAGCCCAAACTCCTTAGTGTAAGTAAATGACTTAGACTAGCAGTCAGTGACACAGAGCATAATCTATAGCAGCAATTCCTTCTGGAGCCTTCTGACTTTCATCCTGACGGTGCCCTGCTGCCACCAAGATCACCTGATTCAGGTGAGGATTCTAGAGGGTCTTTTGAGAAGTTCCATTTGCTTTCTAAACCATTACATTTTTCTAATACTCCTCCCTCACTTTTATTTTTTTCTAACAGCTCTGGCTTTTTATCTGCTGGCTCAACAGGCAAGAGTGACTGGTAACAGCTCTAATGTGTTCATTTTTGAGTGAAACTATATCTTTAGGATCAATTTCCCAGATATACCATTCTGTTAGCAATCTCAGGTTTAAGCCTATTTATATCTATTCCTGTACCCATACAAAGGTAAGGTATTATCAAGGTATTCATTCAGTTATGGTGATTAAGAGCTTCTCCTTGGAGTCAACCACTCCTGTCAGTGCAAGCACCTATTATTATTTTTGTTTCTTCAGAAAATCTGGTGGGCTTGAAATAACGTGTGTTATTTTTATAAACAGCATTGGCAGAAAACTTAGGAAAATGTCAATCTAGCATTTCTTTTCTCTCTCTCTCTCTTTTTTTTTTTTTTGTGATGGAGTCTTGTTCGGCTGCCCAGGCTGGAGCGCAGTGGAGCGATCTTGGCTCACTGCAACCTCTGCCTCCCAGGTTCAAGCGATTCTCCTGCCTCAGCCTCCTGAGTAGCTGGGATTACAGGCATGTGCCACCATGCCCGGCTAATTTTTGTATTTTTAGTAGAGACAGGGCTTCACCATGTTGGTCAGGCTGGTCTCGAACTCCCAACCTTGTGATCCACCTGCCTCAGCCTCCTAAAGTGCTGGGATTATAGGCGTGAGCCACCGCACCTAGCCCAATCTAGCATTTCTGTAAGTCCTGCCTTGGGTCATGTTCTTCCAAGGTAGGACATAATACATTACAAGTAATACATTGCAGGAAACTATTAAAATGAGCAGAATCCTGCCCTTCACCTCTGTCTTCTACCTTCAGAATCAGAAAAAAACAAAAGAAGTTTTTCTAATTCAGGAGTTCGCTAGGAGTCCCAGATAAGTTTGGATAAATTGTCTTCTAGCTTTCTCCTCAGCATTGAACAGCTCGGGTAAAGAAGGACATTGAAATTCTGAACTTAACTGGCAATACTCTCCCTTCTTCCCCTACTCCTACCCCACGGCTCCTACCTTTACCATCACTCTCTGCATGGTAACCAGGACAAAATTTCATTTTACTCTTGGTTTTATTGGCCACCCCTGCACACGCAAAACTCTTGGGTCATCGTCCTCATGCAGAGTCAAATCCTCATATAGCTCTGCTCACCCTCTTTTCTTAACCATCTGCCACCTTTCTTAAGACCTGAAAATCCTCCTATGTGTCCTCTGGCACTCACAGACATTCAGCAGCAAAATGTCCTGTTTTCTCCTCCACTTTTTTAAATGTTTCTTTCATCTTTTTTATCTAAAAGAAGTCTGACTTTTCTCCCTGATGACATTATTTCTTCAGAAATTCTTAATCGGTGGTTTCCTGGAAACTGATTTCTCCACCTCAAACCTTATGTAATTAATAGCCGTAGATCTTTACTGTCACATGTGGTGGCCACTAGCTACATGTGTCTATTAAGCACTTGAAATGTGGCTAACGTGAATTAAGGTGTGCTATCTGGGAAAAATATACACTGGATTTCAAAGACTGCACAAAACCAAATGTAATATGTTTCATTAATATGTTTTCATATTGACCGCTTGTTGGATTGGATAAATTGGATTAAATAAAATATATATTTTAAACTTAATTTTACTTGTTTATTTTTTCCTTCATTAATGTGACTATGGCAAAATTTAGAATTATGTTGTACATTTCCCACACTATTTTTCTATTGGGACATTTGCTCTTATTCTTTCTGTTACAAATTTCCTAGCATTTAATCTCATGACAAAACACCTTCTGTCACACTCCTCCCACTGTCTGCACCAACTTTAATCCCCCAAACACTCCAACACTCTTCCCATCTCTCCCTTCTTTCCTATCTTCCTCCCTCCCTTCCTCCCTCCCTTTTTCTTTTTTCTTTTCCTTTCCTTTCCTTTCATTTCCTTTCCCTTCCCTTCCTTTCCTTTTCCCTTTCCCTTTCCCTTCTTCCTTCCCTCCTTCCCTCCTTCCTTCCTTCCTTTCTTTCTTTCCTTCTTTCTTTCTTTTTCTTTCTTTCTTTCCTTCCTTCTTTCTCTTTCTTTCTTTCTCTCTCTTTCTCTCTTTCTTTCTCTCTCTCTTTCTCTCTTTCTTCCTTTTTTCTATTTCTTTCTTTCTCTTTCTCCTCTCTCTTCTTCTTTCCTTCCTTTCCTTCCTTCCCTTCCTCCCTTCCTTCCTTCCTTTCCTTCCTCCCTTCCCTTCCCTTCCATTCTCTTCCTTTGCCTTGCCTTGCCTTGCCTTGCCTTCCTCCTTTTCTTCCTCCTCCCCCTTCTTTTCTTTTTCTTCCTTCGGGCTACATGTCATTCTTTCCAATATACAGAAATCATACAGTCCTTGTGATTCCACTATACACATAGATACTATTTCAATGATGTAGACCTTCATTTGAATTCTTTTCCAGTGATTTGTTTTCCTCTACTTTTCCTCATGCACTCATTACCATGGCCATATGCTAGAACTTGTCCTTATGAAAACTTCCAACTCCCATGTAATTCCAGTTTTCAAGTGGTCTACCACATCTTATTTTTCTTTTTTCTGTCTGCTATTTATCTGCAATAGTCTTTTCCTCATATCTTTTCTCATGTAATTTAAATTTCATTATCCCTTGTCATAATCACTCCCTTGCACACATTTTCAACTCCCTGCCTCTATCTCACTTTGTCATAATATCAGACAAAATTTCCATTCTGTTTAATTATCTACCTTCTTAATTCCTAAACTCTTGAGGCTGAACAGATCTGTATGAAAACTCCCAGCGATCTACCTGCTCTCCTTTTAGTTCTCTGACCACAAACCTGAAGTGGGTCCCTAGTACTCTTGAATAAATATTTATTCTCCCATGTGACTGTTTTATGCCCTTTCCTCTTTTTATAAACCTCAACCCCTACTCTCCTCTCTTACTTTAAGCACATGATCTTATTTCCCAGTTCACTGGGAAATAGAAACAATTGCAAGAGTATTGTAATAAACCTTTACCATTCATCTGCCTAGAGTATTGTAATAAACCTTTACCATTCATCTTCCTATCGAATACACATTAATTCACACATATTCTGCTTTGCCACTGTTATGATGGATGAAGTCTTTATGCTTTAATTCCTATCCCTTTTTCTGAACACTAGATATTATTTTCTCTCACGTATCTAAGTTCATTACTCCAGAAATCCTCCTATGTTATGATTTTTCTTCTTTTTGTTGGATCTTTCCCATTAGTATACAGATATACTATAATGTCTGTTATCTTAAAAATCTTCCCCTTTTTACTGCTCCACATTTATCTGTTCTTCCTTGCAGCAAAATTCAACTAAAGCTTCTTTTTTTAAAATATGGTCTTTCTATAAGTCCTCTGTTCCCAGGTTCTCTTAAATCCTTCTAATCTGTCTTTTGTCCCTACCACTTCACCAAAATCATTGCTGCAAGATTGGCAATGACTTTCATGTCTAAATACATGTCCAATTTTCATCCTACTTTAAACACAGTTGGCCACCCTTTCTTGTAACATCTTTAAGTTGCCTTAGCTCTACCTCACATGCTTCTCTGTCTTAGTTTCCTTTGCTCATTTTTTTCTTATCATTCTAATCTGTAGAATTGAATTGCCCCAGAGATCAGATTTTTGGACTTCTTCTCATCTGTATCTATATTTGCTTCCTTGGTAGTATCATTCAATTTCATGGCATTAAATATAGTTTCATATTTATAATTCTAGTTTTTTTCTACCCTTTGAAATAAGACATTAAGTGTCTATCAATAGCTCCAATTAAATACCTAATAGGCGTAATATCTAATAGATATCTCAGATACAATATATCCAATATCTGATCTTCCTCCCAAACTTATCCTTGACATTATCTGCACTATATCAATCAGTAAATGGCAACTAAATGCTTCTAATTTTTCAGGCCAAACAACTCAGAGTCATCCTTAATTCATCTTTCTTTATCAAATACCACAACCAATCCATTAGCAAATTCTGCATTTCTAACTCAAAACTATCTCCAAAATCTGACCATTTCTAATTGTCTCATTTACTACTACTTTGACCAATCCACCACCACCACCACCATCTCCCTTGTAAATTTATAATAATTCCTACTAAGTTCCCCTTTTTCCACTCTTGTTCCTCTATCCCTTTGCCCTCTTCTCCCCACCTGCTTTCTGCTTGCCACAAAGCAGCTAAGGTGATCCTGTCTTGTCTTGTCAAGTCAAATCACTCCTTAGTCAAATGCCTAAAATGACTTCCCATTACACTCACACTAAATCCATACCTTCCCACGGCCTTCGGTGACATACATGTGCTCCTCTTTCACCTATTTGACATTATTTCTTATGTAGTTTATCTTCATTCGCTCAGTTTGTGGCCTCCTTTCTGTTATTAAAATATGACAAGCTCACTCCTAATCAGAGATTGTTTGTGGGTAAGAATAAGAGATAAAACTAAAAGTCCAATGGTAATTTAGATGTTATCCTGTAAGAATTGGAGAATAATTTTCAGTGAAGGGGCAGGTAAAATATGGATTTTGGGAAGTGAACTATATGCTAAAATTATTTAAGATAAATTAGGAATGGTAGAGACAGTATAGCTTACTAAAATTTGGAGATTATTTTTTGAGGTTACTAACTAGGCTTTGGAAGAGAGGCACAATGAATTTGAACAGCATTTAAACATGGAATTGAAAGGATTATCTCATTTAGTATGCTAGATTGAGGGATAGGAGAGTCAAAGGTGGCTGGGGCATTCAGTGTGCTCTGAGTACCTCACTGAACGGGAAAAGCAGACAAGGTGTTTGTCTTAGTCAGTTTGGGTTTCTATAACAAAGTACCATAATTGGGTGGCTTATAATGAATATAAATTTATTTCTCACAGTTCTGAGGGCTAGGAGTCTGATATCAGTATGACAGTGTGGTAGGAATCTGCTGAAGAATTTCTCCTAAGTTATAAGCTGCTGACTTCTGTATCCTCACATTGTAGGAAAAGAGTGAGTTAACTCTCTGGTATTTTCCTGTAAGTGTACTAACCCTACTCATGAAGATTCCCCACTCATGACTTAATTTCCTTTCCAAAGCCCCACTTCCTAATACCATCACATTGGGGGTTAGGATTTCAAAATATGAATCTTGAGGAGATAAAACATTCAGTTTGTAACAAGGTTTTTTTTATTTTTATCTATTCTCGATATTGGTTTAATATACATGTCATGATATTCTGGTTCTAGTCTGTTCCCAAGTCTTGCCCTAATATTGGTAGATCAAGATCTTGTGAAAACCATCTCCATTCCATCAATGGCTTCTTTGTTTAAGACCTAAAACCTATAAAAAGGAAATTTTATGCTCCATGAAATTGTATTTCACAAACATCAAATGTTGATGGAATAAGATAATACTATGACCCGATCAACTGAATACAAACACCAGTAGCCCAGCCACTCTGGAATACAACATGTTCGACTTAAAATGAGGTACAAAAATTAGCTGGGTGTGTTGGCAGTTGACTGTAATCCCAGCTACTCAGGAGGCTGAGGCAGGAAAATCACTTGAACCCAGGAGGCGGAGATTGCAGTGAGCCAAGATCATGCCACTGCACTCCAGCCTGGGCAATAAAGTGCGACTGTCTCCTTAAATAAATAAATATATAAAATGAGGGATATTTTCTAAATCTAAGTTTTGCCTACTTTTTAAGAAACAATCAAGGGCTAATGTCCTGTCTTTTGGATAACTCTCTCAGTACCCTGTCCCTTGGCAATTGTTACTGGCTTTAATGTTTCTATGTCCAACTCTGTGCACTGCTGAAAGAGTTTGGTTTCACTCTGTCTCATGCTCTTTATGATCGAGTTATCTTTTTAAGTACGGGGCTCTGATCTTGAATCCCAGCTGCCAAGTCCACACCCTCTCAGGAGAAATCTAGCAAAAGGTTAATTTATATATCACTTGAGACAACCACTTTACAAAACCCTGCCATGCATATCAAATATCTGCCTACTTCCTAAAAGGCCAAGGGTCTTTAGACAGGGACTCAGAATTGTTTCATCTGTAGAAGCTGTCATTTCTGAAGCAAACACTTTTGAAGCTTTGAACACTAATACTTATATCTAATGCTCTTGGTCCCTAAGGACCTAAAGAATCAATGATGTTACCTAGGTAGTTTAAAGACAGATTTATGGTTGCTGTGCAACCATAATGCTGTATTGCAGGACAGATAATTTTATTTTTTATAATGCGTCACATGAGTTCTCTCTTTTTCTCTGCATTTCTATGCATATGAACACATAGAAGGGAAATATTTTATGATGCAATTTAACATTTCAAAAAATTTATCAGCTAGTATAGGAATGTAGGCAGGGGAAAGACAGGACTTTTTTAGATCGAATATGTTCATTGCTGATACTTAGTAGGGTTATTATTATATTATTGGGTTAGTAATAACTTTTATTGTTCATTTATATTATAATGCATGGCTCAAGTGGGGAAGATGGAAAATACAGAAAGTAAAATTATCAGGAGTCCCAAGAACCAAAACCAGAATAGGTTCTAATTACACACACACACAGACACACACACACACACATACACACACACAAGTATATTTTTCAAAATAGAATAATACACTGTTTTGCAATCTGAAATAAGAATGATCTAGACAAATTTATTACTTAATTTAGGGATAGACTTATTTTCTGCCAGTAAACCAAATGAGGAGAATTAGACATTTGGGTGATAAGAACTAGGTATATAGCATTGTGACACTGGGTTCTAGGTGTTAAGGTTCAGACATACATCTGTGTCTAGAAAGATACCATGTAGGTTGAAGTTTTGAGGGGTTTCAGGCTGAATCTCAATGTTATATGTTGACCATATTTAAAGACTACACTAATCCTTGGAAAATCCTACACAAGTAGAATTGATACAATATCTGTAGTTAAAAATTTGTAGCTTGTGTAATATTGTCCTTTTGGCTTACTATATGATTCATAAATTTCTAAATATTGATTTAAAAAAATAGTTTATGTACATGCTTACAAATTATTGATTGATGCTGTACAACTGTATGATCCCCTGAGGTAGTCTTTGCAATTCTACGCTTAAAAATTGCAATAATTATTATGATCCTATGGATAGGTGAGAAGCTGGAAAACATACCTGATTGCAATTTTATATAATTTGTTAGCAATATGGTGTAAGCTGGTAAGCCCCAGAAGAGAGAGAACAAATTATGTTTGTTTCTACCTGCATGGTTTTGTATGACTGTCTTTTTCTATACTTGTATGTAAAACTGACTAGATGGTTTGCTAACCTTTCTTTTGCTTCAGAATGAACTTCCAGCTCATGTGAAATGTTTTACCACATCACTTAAAATGATTAGAAGGAATTATTTTGCTTAAGCCTGATTATTTTCCAATTTAATCAATACAAAATATAGTATCTGAAAATAGCTTATGCATTAAAAATATTATTTGCCTCCAAACGCAACCCAAATAGGAGGACTGTTTAGTGATTTATAATACTTTGAAACATGAGGCCTTTATGTGCAATGTAGCACTTCTAAAAGTAAAAATGCTGCTGAAAATTTCCTTATATTGCTTAAATATATAGAACTACAAGGCAGCTGGATATTGCAAATAGCATTGCATAAATTATATAAACTTGAATAGAGCAGATTTGAAACGAGAAGGAAGAGCAACTATCACTGGGTTTTCAAAGGAAGTATTGCTGTTTGACAAAACACCACACATTCCCCAAAAACATATGTTAATTTGCAAACTTTGAATCTATTCCTCATAGATCACGTTTCCATTGGGGAATTAAAGACAGTTATCCATTGAAAGTTTAGTGACATGTCAGCATCTAGCACAATTTTGAGTTAGGGATAAGTAAATCAATGAACTATGATGAAAGTTTCTAGTGACAAATAGTAGAGTGAAACATGCATTCAAGGAATAAAATAACCTTGGATTTTTAGCTTAAGAGATATCTTTAGATATTAATTCGTAAAATGATATTTAACAAAATTAAGTTCAAAATCTTCTGATTTTGAGATATTTACAAAACAAATTCAACCGTAAGCATTATTTTAATGTTCTTTCTCATCAGAACATTTTCTTCAGTTTTATTAAAAATGTGTACTAGTTAAAATAGTTATATGTTTTTTCTAATATTAAATTGACAAATACTGTGTTTGTATGCTTAGATTTCTTTTTTTTTTCTTTTTTTTTTTTTGAGACGGAGTCTCGCTCTGTCGCCCAGGCTGGAGTTCAGTGGCGCGATCTCCGCTCACTGCAAGCTCCGCCTCCCGGGTTCACGCCATTCTCCTGCCTCAGCCTCCCGAGTAGCTGGGACTACAGGCGCCCGCCACCACGCCCGGCTAATTTTTTTTTTTTTTGTATTTTTTAGTAGAGACGGGGTTTCACCGTGTTAGCCAGGATGGTCTCAATCTCTTGCCCTTTTGATCTGCCTGCCTCGGCCTTTCAAAATGCTGGGATTACAGGCGTGAGCCACCGCGTCCGGCCGCTTAGATTTCTTAAAATATTGATTACTTTAATGAACATGAATGACTTTAAATATGTAATCATTTTGATTAGACACAATCTTTGTGGTATATACATACATGTAAATTCTTAAAAGCTTTTTAAAAATTTGATAACTTGTGAAAAATTCTCTAAAATATTATAATAAATTATAATGGTTGTTAGTGATTTTTAATACAGTAGAAAAATCATAGGTCTCAAAACTACTTGTTGGATCTCATTGTAAACTAAATTAATTTTCCAGGTTTTTTTAACCAATACTCTTACTAAAAGTAATTAGTTTTACATTTTCCTAAAAATAAAACTTTAGTTATGCTAAGTAAGACTTTAAATGTATTAAAATCATTCTTCAATGTTTTTACAGTCAGTGAAAACTTCAGCTTGAATATATCTTTATGTAAAAGAGCTTCTGACTACATAACTGTATTTACTGGAATCCATAAATCTCTACTAACCTACAGAGAAGAGTAAATAAAAGTATTTGGTCTATTTTTTTCCCTTTTCTCTCATAATGTCTTACTATGAACATGTTTTTGTTGCTTTAGATACACATACCTTAAATATTCTTCTGACATCATTGACTCAAATTAAGAGACAAAAAGATAAAAGCATTTGAAACAACAGATAATCTGTATTTTGTAATGAGAACTATGAAAAACTGCTCTTAGTTCAAAAAATCTAATCAAAATGAGATTCTAGAAGCTATAGCTTCTTGTGTGAAGCACATGCAAAAAGACTCAAGATTCCAATGTGACTGTAAGCTTATTATGATTCAGGTGTTATGTGCCTGTTTTTAAAATCTAATACATCTGAAGGCCTATTAGATTTGAAAGGTGACTGAGGTTGGATGGAGGTTGAGGGTAGGGGAACCACATATTTAAAACAGTAGAAAGAAACCAGGGATATTTAGCTTGGAGGAGAGAAAATTCTAGGGGCAGGTATGGTGGCTCTTTTAAAATAGTTGAAGAACTTAAATATGGAAGAAAGATTAAACTGCAGCAAATACTTTAGACTATTTTACACCTGAAGACTTTTCAACTCTAAGATTACATGATTTTGTGAACAATACTAACATTTTCAGAAAATGATGATTGTGATCACTAATAAGTTACAAGTAGCTTAATATTTAATTACCTGTTTTTCAAAAATTCTCATCACCAGTGACCCCAATGTTATCTGTGTTCACCAGCAGTGGGGAAAACATCTGAAAAGTGATGCTGAAGCAAAGAAATATAATTGGGCCTTGGGGATTTGGAAAGCTCGGTAGGGTTAGCCCTTTTTTAGAAATTGTGTTAAGTATAATCTTAGAATCCCCCAAATCTTGGTATATATATATTCTCTTCATGGCTGTTCCTGAGATCTAAAGGGTAGTATCTTGGGCTTATATCATTCAGTTGAAGGCTCTGAAGGATGGATGACAGGCCAATTCTTAAGCCTATTAAATGAAAATTATGGTACTGCTGACTACAGACTCTAAAAGTCTCAGTAATTGCCACTGTGATTTAAGATCATCTCCAAATGCAACATTGTGAAACTCACTGCTATTGCAACAAGCAAAAGCGTAGCCTTTAAATACAGAAGACAATATTTACACAGGTATATTTTTCCATTCATGATTTATTAATTGAATGATTGCTCAGTACCACCAGATTAGGCCTATTATAAATATTTACAATCGCCATGCATTTCCCTTAGCCCTCGTGTATGGGCATACGTTACCTTGGTTTTAATAACGTTCCTCAAAGGCCGTTACCGATGGCATACAGCATAAGGTTCAGTTGTTAGGGACAAATTCCAATTAACAATTAGCCACTTTTCTTGAATTTAGAATATCAGAACAGACAGAAAGCTAAATATATGAAGTAAAATCATCATTTGAGTTAAAAGAATTCCTGAGACAGCACTAAGGTTACATAGAAACAACAAAATTGTCTTTAAATAAACCACGTAGGTAACATCATTGATTCTTCAGTTCAAATAAATTATGATCCTTGGGGACTGGAGCAATAGATATAAATGTTGGTTTTCAGAGCATCAAAACTGTTTGCTTCAAAGAGGACAGCTTAAGGAGATGAAACCATTCTGAGCCCCTGTCAAAGGACCTTTTGGCCTCTTAAGAAGTCGATGGAATTTGACATGCATTGCAAGGATTTGTAAAGTAGCTCCCTTGAGATTTATTTAACAAGAGTTTTTGACTGATGGTAGTTGTTCTAAGCCATCTATTTCCTTAAATCTTTAAGAATTTACTTATTTAAAAAAATAAGAAAATAAAAAGACCTCCCCTGGAAAAAGGGTATTTATTTGATAACATATGGCATCAATGGCTCTGCTTTTCTGGAAACAAATCAAACTAACAAACAAAAATAAAATAAACAGGAAAACATGGTTACACTGCAGCAACAGCTGATTCCATTTGTTTTTGAGGGGACTTCAGGGGAGAGCTACATAAGAAATATGAAAAAAAAATTTACAATAAAAGCAAGTGATAATTAAAGGCCAGTCTGTGGTTGTAGTCTGGTTTTAACTTTCCTGTCAGTTTTCTTTCTGTTTTTAATAATGGAGAGCTTACACTTACCATTTAAATAGCCATCTGGAAAGTCAAATCAATAATGCTGTCCATTATTTTTTTTTCATTTCAAAAAAGTGAACTGACCTTGCCAAGTTTCTTCTCTAGACAGAGATAAATGGCTTATTATAAAGAGGGGACATGTTTTCACCATGTGGGCAGTGGAGGCGGTGAACACCACTGACAGTTGTATTACATGGGAATTGTGTCCAGATCATACAACTGTGTATGGGTGCCCTCTGCTGGAAGGCACAAGTAGGACAATTTTAGGAAAGTAATTTCTTTTTCTTTTTCTCTTCTCTTTTCTTTTCTCTTCTCTTTTCTTTTTTTTTTTTTTTTTTTTTTTTTTGAGATGGAGTCTTGCTCTGCAGCCAAGGCTGGGGTGCAGTGGCATGATCTCAGCTCATTGCAACCTCTGCCTCCCGGGTTCAAGAAATTCTCCTGCCTCAGCCTCCTGAGTAGCTGGGATTACAGGCAACTGCCACCATCCCCGGCAAATTTTTGTGTTTTTAGTAGAGACAGGATTTCACCATGTTGGCCAGGCTGATCTTGAATTCCTGACCTCAGGTAATCCGCCCACTTTGGCCTCCCAAAGTGCTGGGATTACAGGCGTGAGCCACTGCGCCCGGCTGGGAAGCAATTTCTAAGCTGTGCTCTTTTCTACCCATGGCATTTGTTAAAGCAAATATATACATAGCATCAACAGATTTTTGTTTTGTGCCTACTTCGTATAAAGCCAGGTGTTGGAATCTATATGAAATAAAGGGAAACACAAGTCATTGCCACTGTTTCAAAGAGTCAACAGTCAAATCTCATATCCTCTCCATTCCTGTGTCAGCTTAACTGGGAACAGGGAGAGACAGATAGCCGGGACACTGAGTAGGCTGACTACTGCATACTCCTACTGCACTGTCTAATGTGGTAGCTACTATCTAGATTTAGGCATGGCAACTCAAATGTAAATTAATTAAGATTAAAAACAATTAAATTTTCCATTTTAATTCAATCACATTAACAACATTTCCACTGCCCAGGGACCACATGTGGCCTGTGGATATCATATTGAATAGTGCTGAGCTAGGATATGACTTTCATCACATCAAGTTCCAACAGATAGCAAGATATCCTAGAATAATAAAAAGAGCAGTGGCCTGAGTGTCAAAAGTCCAGGGTTTGAGTCAGGCTTATTATTATTTTGTGTGACCTAGAACAAGTTACTTCTCCTTTCTTGAATTCAATTACCATCTTTTCCAAATGAGGGTTTTGCTTGAAAACCCATGAGAAATATTACAGTAGTGATTCAAAAATGCCATAAGGGTTCCTTTACAGAATAGAGCCAAGAGTCACCTGGAGTCCCCTGAAAGTTCACTCCTGTTTTTAAAGGTTCTGGATACATGATTATATCCCACACTGAAATTTGATTTTGGTTTCTTTCAAGGGTCAGGCCCATCTGACTTTCAGTAAGCAAATAAACACAACTTTTCACAGTGTGGCTGCTGATAGAGTATTGACCAATACATAAAAACATAGTGCTAAAGGATTTTTCATAATCTGTGTTATCAGCCAATCTACGAGTGTCATTCGAACTGTAAATGTTAAGCTTGTTTTGGTAGCCGTGGCTGACACGACCGTTTAAAAGAATGCTGGAGCTACATTTGTGATTTTATTGAGAATTGTTTTCACTAGGGAACTCTCAGCCTGTCGGATTAAAATGGTAAAGAGACCTTTTACTGCAAGAGCTCTGACAGTTATCCCCTTAGCAAAGTTTGCTTTTGTGATAATTACACCTATTCTTGTTTACCAAATGAATCAGTTTTCAGTGCTGCTTTTAACCTTGACTGGTTTCCCTTTGATGATTACTCTTTGCTATGATGAGATGTTGAGAAACATGCTGCACATTTCACACTGCTCTTTTTCAAGTGATGTTTACTCTTGGTTTCCTTTAAAGCACGTTTCCAAGGTTCATTTGAGGGGGCAGTTAACTTGGGGGAGGATGTCAACAATATGTTTTTCATCTGCAAGAGGATAAATGACTGTGTGGTGGTTAGTTAGGAATGATGATACCGAATTTCTGTGCCTTCCTTGGACACAATTAAGTATCAACAGGCACACTTGTGATCTTGGGAGGAAAGGTTAAGAGCATTTAGAAACTGGTAGGTGAGGATGAGGCCAATGGTTCCTGTAAGTGAGCCTGGATTTGGTCAGGTACATTTCTTCATAGAGCAAGAAAAGTTACCACAAGGTAGAAGAATGTTGAGATGTTGAAATTTTATGCTGGACTTCAGGTTCACATTTTGTAGCACCGGTAATTTTAAGTATAAAACTTCATAATTAATCAACCATTACAAGTTCCAAAATAGAATTTCTATAACAAACTCAAGAGCCTATCTGTATTTTTTTGCGTGTTGGAGGAGGGTACTAAAAGACTGCTAAAAAACCTCTTAATGACAGTGGTGGCAGTAGCAAAGAAGGCAGAAGAGAAATATCAGTGAGTATCAAGAAGTCTGGGTGGTATAGAAGTGACAAAAACTGTGATACATGTGGCAACCTAGGAAATAACAATGGAAGGGGCAGGCATTACAAAAATCTACTAGAGCAGTAACATTGGTTTCAGAGGCTGTTGAGATCTGGAACCAAAGTTGAAAGCAAAAGAAACATGGGAGAGGAGAGTCATGTCCTAGTAATTTGATATTGCTACTCCAAGAAAAAATGTCTGGCTCACGCTTGTTATCCCAGCACTTTGGGAGGCCTAGGCAGACAGATTACCTGAGGTCAGTAATTTGAGACCAGCTTGGCCAATATGGCAAAATCCTGTCTCTACTAAAAATACAAAAAAAAATTAGCTGGGCGTGGTGGCAGGCACCTGTAATCCCAGCTACTCGGGAGGCTGAGGCATGAGAATCACTTGAACCAGGGAGTCGTAGGTTGCAGTGAGCTGAGATTGCACCACTGCACTCTAGCCTGGGCAATAGAACAAGAGTCCGAAAAAAAGAAAAAAAAAGTCATGAGGAAGCAAAGGCAAGCGTATGGCCATGAAGACACAAACATAGCATCGTGTCTGAAAAACCTTCCTCATCTTCCATGCCACCCTGCCCTATTGCCTTATCTATTGTCTCCTTTTCACAGTCAAATTTTCAAGTCACCTTCTATTCCTTTTGCAATTTTTGGCTTCCGTGTCAATCTTTATTGACACCTCTGTTGTGTATTGTGACCTCTACCACACCCCTCTATTGAAGCCAATCTCATTGAAATTACAATGCACTATCTAGACAATGAAACTACACATAATGGGTTCTGAGAATTCATAATTTTTTAAACCACAATGATTAATTTTTCACCTTTAAAATACATAATTCATTTAGCTTTTGTGGTGTTATGCTCCTTTCATTTTCCTACATTTTCACATTCTTTGCAGGCTCATTCCCCTGGAGTTACTTCCTAATTGTGGGTATTTCAATTTAGGAATTCTTTTCTCACTTCATACACTCTCATTGGGCAATGGCATCTACTCTCGAGATCCAAATACCATCAATATACTTGTAATACCCAGATATATACTTGCAGGACAAATTTCCCCTTTAGGCTTATAGAGCACATCTATAATTCGAATTCATTTTTTTCCTTTTTACCTTCTATTTATTCCTTTTCCATGATTTCCCATTTCATTAAGTTGCTTCATTCTTCCAGTTACTCAAACAAATATACCTAAGGGTAATTGATGATTCCACCGAAGGCCTTAACTCCCTATCCACTAATGACAGTAAATGAATTGCCAAGACCTATTGAATCTTCCATCTACAAGGCCACTTTCTTCTAACCCCATTTCTCTTGTCCTTGATCAGACTGTTTTTTTTAAATTTCTGTAATAGCTTCTAAATGTCTTACATACTATAGTATTTTGTATCTGCAATTCATCTACTATAAAGACAGTAATCTTTTAATAGCATATTCTGATTTAGACAATCCCTTCCTTAAGATTTCTCAGTAATTCTTTATTGCCATCAGGATAAAGTTCCAACTCCTTACAGTCACTAGCAAGACTGTCTGGGACCTTTGTCCTACTTGTATCTTCTTACCACATCCCCGGGAATATTTCCCCTCAACTCAAAGTTTCAAATTCTGATTTCTTCTAGTTCTTTGAATTTTTACATCATCTCTTACTTCACCACCTTCATACATGTTGTTTGTCTTTCACCATTACTTCATTCTTCTGAAGACCTCCTCACCTTTCAGATCTTATCATAAATACTGTTTTCTTCAGGAGAATCTTCCTGACCACTAGAACAGGTTAGGTCCCCTCAAGAGCAGATTTCTGGAAAAATCTCCAACTTCTACTATTATGCAAATAGGATTGTATTTAATTTCAATGGTATGTCTCTCTTGCAAACTGTAAGTTCTATTAAAGCACACTTTAATAGACTATGCTTTAATAGAACTTACACTTTGTCAAGTTTACTTTACTTTACAATTTAGCTTTAATTAGCTATGCTTCAGAACTTTCCTTTGTCAATTTTACTTTGACAAGTGTCAATTCTCACTTTCACTTTGTCAACTTTATTCAATATTTTTTCCATAACTTGAGGCAAAGATTCACACACATAAGAGGTATTTAAATCAATACATAAGATAAACGTATACATAGACATATGTATACTCATAAAAACACATAATTTTATTGTGTTAACAAATATCAATATTACTGTCCTATAGATTCATGTAAAGAGATAAAGTCATGCCTAGATATTTCTGGCATAACAATGTGTGTGTTATTGGATAATCTTTTTTTCTTCAAAACTGCACACTAAAAATAACACGGCTTATTGGAAATAGAAATGGGCAGGGATTCAAAACCTATTTAACTTTGTTACTAAAGTTTTAAATAAAATATTAATTTGTATGTGGAAATATAACACAAATGACAAAGCAGGCAGATGAGTGTGATTGGTGATGGCCACAGAGGATAATTTTTTTAAAATTGCCAGAACAATAGGTTGTATATCCTGGCTTGCGGGTACTGGGATGATGCAGAGCAAGTTGTGCTCTGAGCCAGCGGAGCTCCCATTTAGGGGTCACAGGATCAAGAGAAACGTGCCACAAGCTGGAGGCTGTGCAAAACTGGCAGCAAACATCTCTGGGGAGAGCCCTGCACACAGGTACTCATTTTTTTTTTTTTTTTTTTTTTTGAGACGGAGTCTCGCTCTGTCGCCCAGGCTGGAGTGCAGTGGCGGGATCTCGGCTCACTGCAAGCTCCGCCTCCCGGGTCCACGCCATTCTCCTGCCTCAGCCTCCCAAGTAGCTGGGACTACAGGCGCCCGCCACTATGCCCGGCTAATTTTTTGTATTTTTAGTAGAGACGGGGTTTCACCGTTTTAGCCGGGATGGTCTCGATCTCCTGACCTCGTGATCCGCCCGCCTTGGCCTCCCAAAGTGCTGGGATTACAGGCGTGAGCCACCGCGCCCGGCCACAGGTACTCATTTTTACTCTCGTGAAGTACAGCTGAAAGTGCTTCTATCAGTATAGCAGCTGAACTAAGGAGTTTTTCCTCTTCTGATGAAACTTACAATTGTACTCTGGCTATTCTGGCTCCTTTCCCTAGAAAAACCTGCATGTGAACTTCCATTATTTTCTAGTCTTGATTATGTATAAGGTAATCAGTGTTAGAGAAGTGTACATGTGGGAGCAGAACAGACCGTATTTGCTCACTAGGCAAGTGGTACTGGAATTGCATTTCCTACATGACTACCAATTTCCACAGTCACATTTAGAAGGGAAAAAAAGAAGTCAAAAGTTAATAAAGTGTTAACCTTTTCTCACTCACAGGGCAAGAATATGTGCTTCAATAGAAGTGTACATAAAAGTGTTTTAGAAGTAAGTGTGTGTGTGTGAGAGAGAGAGAGACAGAGAGACAGAGAGAGAAAGAGAGAGAGAGAGAGAGATAAGAGAGGGAGAGAGAGAGAGAGGCTGAATGAGTCTGCATTTAATAAAGATGGTGAATCACTGAGTAGCTGAGTATTGTGGAATAAGGGATTTATTATAGGAAAAAGACCTGACCCAACCACAGGAGGAAGGGAAAGTTTGAAAAGGGGAGATGTAGAATCAGAAAAATGTCAATTCCTAAGACTTCTGAATCACTGATGTGGGTGGCAAATTATAACTTGCAAAAGGATCTGGAAAAGCAGGTCCCTCCAGCTGATGCTGTGCACCATGGAGGAGAGCTGGGGAAGTGGGCGGCCTTTATGTATCATGAGGGGTTAGAGATTCTATCAGCAGAGCCAGCAGTTGGGAAAAAGCTAACTGTGGAACAGGGAGATCAAGGATAAGGTGGAGCCTGCCAGCACTTCTGTGTCTGTTTATTCTCATATCCTACTGACATGATCTTTGGAGAAGAATGACTGTATCTTTACTTTGCCTTCCAAATGATGAATAGAATTCTCTTGTGGCAAATTGTAACTTGGAGTCATACAGGCAAGGAGATTCTTGAAAAGGGGATATAGTCACTACTTAGACAAGTTGACACTTTAAATATACCTCAGTAGTTTAGCCTGCAGAGGGAGGCAAGTGTGAAATTATGGAGTGCTTCTAAGGCCAGAACTCAGAAGTAGCATTGTGTTCTGGACTGTATCTTTCTACCATCTTTGTTTTTGTAAGATAATTTTTGTAACAATAGAATGAACTGGATTGGAGAATGACTGGGAGTTTTGGAGTCCAATAATGAACTCTAGCACACCCTGGAGACCCTTCTTTGTAAGATGTTATAAAGAACTGAGCGATGAGCATGCCATCGGAAGGAAAGAAGGAAAAAATCTATTTTTTTAAAAATAAAATTTTATAGAAAATTTTGGTGAAACCAATTGGATTCTGTCTAAGTGTCACAAAGTCCCAAATAACTAAGGATGAGAGTAAGTTCTGAGAGCTCTGTTCCCATATGGCCCATATATCTCTGGGTCTTTTTTCTTGCAGGTCTTTCTTCCTAGAACATTTTTCCACATATTTGAATGTCTCATTTCACCCAAGCCTGGGCTCAAATATCACATCACCAGGGAGTATATTAAAACAGTGCATTGATGTGTGTTCTCTTTTCTTATCCAATATTATATTTTTTCATAACATTCATTACCATAATACCTTAAATATTGTTTTTTTAAATTTATTCTAGTGTCTCTGTTTTTCATAAGCATGTACTCCATGAGGGCTGATATGTGTATTACTTTGTTTATTATGTATCCATGCTCCTTGAATAGAGAATAAATAGTCCGTATGGGCTTGGCCATGAAAGGTGTGGGAACATCAGTAACAGCCTTTAAAATAAGGTCAGACTGGAAAATGCTGTAGTTAGAAGCATTGACCTGGCAGTGGATGTAGAAGTGTACCCTTTCTAATGGGATTGCTTTTTGATATTCATACATTAGAGGTCAACTTTGTTGAGCTTCTTAGAAATAGTGATGTATAGTGAATGTTTCTATCTGGATCAATAGATGACCACATTTATTTATTTATATGCCTGACTGTGAGAATGACAAAGACCAGCCAAGTTCAATTCCAACTGAATGCTTAAGAGGATCTAGAATTCACCCAGTCATTATCCTAAATTGGTGGAGCACTAAAGTATGTTCAACCTCTACCCACTAGGGATAGACTCCTAACTCCTTGCCAGGCATTAGATTAACTGAAGCTGATGGTGCTGGTAGAGAATCTCCCACACATATTGTTGGGCAGGGTTGGAGCAGTTGGGAAATGACAAAAATGGCACGAGGTAATTACTTGAAAAGTTAGAATTATTCTGTAATCATTCTGTACCCAGGTTTTTCACCTGTCAATCAGTTCCATGCTTTCAGATAGAAGGCCATAACTGCATACTGCTGTGTGTTCTACATAGTTAGACAACAGGATTTGGCTTGTGGGTGGGGAATTCAGGTACTACCGATGTACTGAATGGAGGTTTGGAAACATTTACTGGGCAGAAGAAGGAAATGGAACCCAGTGGAAGATGACATGTTGCAGGAGAAATTGGGAGGATTCTCAAAGAAGCCTCAGAATTTTCGTTGGTAGTTAAACCTGAAAATAACATGAAATAGCAGTAGTATATGTGTTCCTTTCCAGGGTCAGGGACTTGGAATGGGATTGCTTCCTCTAAACAGGAGATTGCCCTGGACACTGAAAGCCAAATGGAAAAAGAAAAAAGACCCCTTGGCTAGAATGCTAAGAGGACCTATCAAATGCCAGCTTTGATGCCCTGAGTTAAGAGTCACAAAGCAGCGTTGGGCAGTATTGATCAGAATGAAAACTGTTTGAGCATGAATAAAGGCATCAAGGTGATAGACGTGAACAAAACTCTGGAGTGTTGGCTGTGTGTGTTCATGTGCTGGCTAGTGTGTGATGCTTTGGTGTGTATGTGTGTATTTGCGTGAATTGTTTTAAGATTCAAGAAAAGCCTGTAACTCTTTAGTCTAGGCCATGAATTCAGCTATGTTGCAGAATCCTATTTAGTATATTACTTATCTTTCAGAAAACATAGCCTAGTGCTGCAGAATTGTATCTATGTTAAGGTACATTACTTGATTCATCACAAAAAATTACATATGCATGCATGTATGAATGTATATGTATATATATTTACATGTGTACGTGTCCATAAGGAATGTGAACCTCAGAGGAGACCAGGCTTTGAAGAAGGTTCCATTGGTCCTAATATTCGCTGCATCTCCTCTCATCCTGAAGGTGCTTCATGTCTCCAGGATACCTTTGAGGTTATCATGATGAGCCACAGTAGCTTTAGACGTTCATTTGTAGGTGTCAGAACCAGGGCCTTGAGAATTATGATAAGCAAAGTTTTCTGACCAGATAACTATGCTGGTATGTTCATGAGTCTTCTAGTGAGCGGGTAAATTTTTATGATCAAGATGTGTATCAGTTCTGCTCTCCTGTTTAATTATAGAGACAAGAAATACGCAGACACACTGATGCAGCATTCAAGTTTGGGGAAAAAAAGGAGGGAAATTATTACAGACGTCTGGATGGTGTCCTCAATTCCCCCTTTAGCTATTGAATCTCAGCTGTCTGCAATCAAGAACTGAGTCACAAAATGGCTTGCATTGTGTTGCTATTTCAGTTTGACAGACAGTCTTTCAGCATGAAAATTGTTAACAATTCACCAGGTTTTAAAATTTCTAAAAAAATATTTAAATGCTGCTAGAACTTTAGCTATAAGATAACTAAGTACAAGTCTATGAAAATATTTTAATAATTGTGTGAATATTCAGTAAAACCTCATTAAATTGAAAAGTAAGATACACACTTGCCTATCACAAGCATATTTTAAAGTAACTGTATTCAGATAAACCAATAATTTTATCAAAAGAAAGTAGGGCAATTACTTTCCATAATATACAATTTGAGAAAAAGATTCCTGATTAATTAGGCATTTCTGAAAACAGCAGGTATTTTGAACCACTTACTTTGCTGAAAAGTTTTACTGAGTTCTCATTTTCCTAACTGATACAAATATTCAAATCTGCAACTGTTTATGTTTACCAGTGTGCATGTTTGCATAGGGTCTCATCTCTGTATTTGTGTATTTCTCTCTTTGGTGCACACAGGTATGCAATACATTTTGGTTGGGTGCACAGGAATATTTATCATAGTTGATTATTTTTGTCAGTTTTAGAATGTCCCTGTCTCTCCTCTTGTAAGAGTAATTCTGAGAAAATGCAAGAAAGGAAGCCAGAGACGTTGTGGACTGCAGGCTCCTTCCCCATCATGTCACTCAAACACAATGTTTCATTTGTAAAACATATTTTAAAAGATTATGAATGCTATTTAAAAGAACACTAAAGGCCGGGCACAGTGACTCACTCTTGTAATTCCAGCACTTTGGGAGGCTGAGGTGGGCAGATTACTTGAGTTTAGGAGTTTGAGACCAGCCTGGCCAACATGGCAAGACCCTGTGTCTACTAAAAATACAAAAAACAAACAAACAAACAAACCCAACATGGTGATGTGTGCCTGTGGTCCCCACTACTTGAGAGGCTGAAGTGGGAAGATCACTTGAGCCTAGTAGGTGGAGGTTGCAGTGAGCCAAGATCACACCACTGCACTCCAGCCTGGGTGACAGAGCAAGAATACATATATATATATATATATATATATATATATATATATATATATATATATATATATGTATATATATATATATATATATATATATATATATATGTATATATATATATATACAGCAATCAACCAAACAACAGCAGCAAAACATTAAAGTGACATGCTGACTCCTTGGAAAGGTGGTAAGCTCTTTAGGCTTCCTAATCAGAGAAGGCAGATAAAAAGAGTAATTTAACATCTTTCTAATCTACCCCAATGGAATTTGCAGTGATTTTCTTTCCATTTTTTCTCATTGTTTTTCAACCTGATCACTAATAGGTAGCTGAAATGGAGTCACTTAATGGTTTTTGCTTTTTAAGAATTCCAAACTCACAGTTTGAAAATTATAGTTCTTGCATTTGAAGTTTTTCTTCATCGTGCTTGGCCTGCCTGGTGGCTTTTTGTTTTGTTTTGTTTTGGTTTGGTTTGGTTTGTGGTCTCTTTCATCTACCCAAAGCCAGTTGAAATAAATCAAAAGTTGTCTCACTCAGGAATTGTCTAAAGTAAATAAATGAAAAAAAAAAAAAAAACAAGACTAATAATTAGGCAACTCATTGAGTAGGCTGTTGAACCAGCTAAAGTGGGAAAGAAATTATTCAAGTTCTAAACCTTTCTACTTGCAAATTAGCCAAAATCAATTGCATTTTAAGCACTGCATCACCTTGATTGATTTTTAAAATGGATAGCACTTTGCTGTTCACATTTATGGTGAGCCGTGAAGGACTTGGCAATGGGCATCTTTTCTACCGTGTTCTGCATTAAACTCTTTAAATAGCTTCTGCTTCTTAATGTTGAATGAACTTTACTGCAGACTGAGTCTGAGGGTTTTTTTTTCAAGGTTGAAATACATTCTTCAGACTTTACTTTTTGCATGTAGCATTCTTCTTACTTAAAATACCTAAGAGTTTCTAACTAATTTCTTTCAGCCACAGGAAATATTTCTGTAATTTTAGGGTTAAAATGGAGAACTATAGGATGAAAATATAATACAAGAAAATGAATTAAACCCTAAAATTTATTATTATATGTGGGTAAAAGTAGGGGGGAAAATCACTGGTTTTGAAATTAAAAGATGAAAATTGTGAACACTTGCATGGAGACCCTATTTGTAAACTTGGACAAGCTTCAGTGCCCTCTCTCTGCATCTTCTGTCATTATTATTTTTCCTCAAGGCATCGTTTTGAGGATTAAATTAGAAAATGTGAACTAGCTTGAGAGTACAGTCAGCACTTGAACAGCATGGGTTGGAACTGCAAGAGTCCACTTATACACAAACTGTTTTCAAACAAGCTCTGATCTAAAATACAATATTTGTAGGATCTAAAACACGTGTATACAGAGGGCCAACTTTTCACATATGAAGGTTCTGCAGGGCCAGCTGCAGGACTTGAATGTGCCTGGATTTGGGTATAAACAGGTAGTCCTGGAACCGATACACCAAGTATACTGAGGGACAATTGTAATAGGCACAAAAATGTCGATTGATAGATTTTGTTCTTTTTCCTGAAATGCAAACCAGGACACTTACAAAACTAAATGAATAATTACTTATACATTTAGTGTCTCTGTGCTTCTCTCTTTTACCTTTTCCTACTTCTTCCGTATACTCAATCTGTTAAGAAATCATGGAATTTATCTTCAGCTACAGGCATTCCTCATTTGATTGCCCTTAGCTTTAGTGAACTTCACAGGTATTGCTTTTTTTTTTTCTTCCCAATTCAAAGTTTGTGGCAATCTTGTGTGGAGCAAGTCTACTGGCGCCATTTTTCCAACAGCAGGTCATGCACTCACTTCATGTCTCTGTGTCACATTTTGATAATTCTTTCAATATTTCAAACTTTTTATTATTATTACATCTGTTATAGTGATCTGTGGTCATCATTTTTTTCACTTGCTAACTAATGAATTTATTTATTAAGTAATTATACAATAATTTACCTCTCAAACATTTCCTCATCTCCACAATCACTATTCAATAATTTACTGACATTAATTTGATGTGGTCAGTGATGTTCGATGTTACCACTGTAATTGTTTTGGGGCACTGCACCAAAAACCACTCCTATAAGATGGATAACTTAATCAATAAATGTGTGTGTTCTAACTGCTCCACTGACTGGCTCTTCTACCCTCTCTCTCCTTCTCCTCAGACTTCCCTTTTCCCTGAAACACAACAATATTGAAATTAGGCCAGTTCGTATAACCCTGCAATAGCCTGTAAGTATTTACGTGAAACAGGATCACATGTCTCTCACTTTAAATCAAATGCTAGAAACGATTAAGCTTAGTGAGAAAGGCTTGTTGAAAGCTGAGATAGGCAAAAAGCTAGGCATTTTGAGGCAGTCAGCCAAGTTGGGAATGCAAAGGAAAAGTTCTTAAAGGAAATGAAAAGTGCCACTCCAGTGAATAGACAGATGATAAGAATGTGAAACAGTCTTGTTGCTGATATAGAAAAAGTTTTAGTGCTGTGGATAGATCAAACTGACCACAACATTCCTTATACCAAAGCATAATCCAGAGCCAGGCCCTAACTCTCTTTAATTCTGTGAAGGCTGAGAGAGATAAAGAAGCTACAGAAGAAAAGTTTGAAGTTAGCCGAGGTTAGTTCATGAGATCTAAGGGAAGAGCCATCTTCATAAGGTAAAAATGCAAAGTGAAACTGCATATACTGATTCAGAAGCTGTAGAAAGCTATCCAGAAGATCTAGCTAAGATAACTGATGAAGTGGCTTCGCTGAACAACAGATTTTCAATGTAGATGAAATAACCATATATTGGAAGAAGATGCCATCTAGAATTTTCATAGCTAGAGAGGAGAAGTCAATGCCTGGCTTCAAAGGTTCAAAGAACAGGCTGACTGTCTTGTTAGGGGTTAAAACAGTTGGTGACTGTAAGTTAAAGCCAATGCTCACTTACCATTCTGAAAATTTAAGGGCATTTAAGAATTATGGTAAATCTATTCTGCCTAAGCTGTATAAATGGAACAACAAAACCTGGATGACAGGACATCTGTTTTACAGCATGGTTTACTAACTATTGTAGTCCACTGTTGAGATCTACTGCTAAAAAAATTTTTTCTTTAAAAATATTATCACTCATTGACAATGTACCTGGTCACCCAGCAGTCTGGAGTTGTACAAGGAGAATAATGTTTTTATGCCTGCTTGCATTTCTGCAGCCCATTAATTAGGTCTAATTTTGACTTTAAAGTTTATTTTTATTTATTTATTTATTTATTTATTTATTTATTTATTGAGATGGAGTCTTGCTCTGTCCCCAGGCTGGAGTGCAGTGGCTCGATCTCGACTCACTGCAAGCTCTGCCTCCCAGGTTCACGCCATTCTCCTGCCTCAGCCTCCCAAGTAGCTAGGACTACAGGCACCCGCCACCACGCCCGGCTAATTTTTTTTGTATTTTTTTTTTTAATAGAGACGGAGTTTCACCATGTTAGCCAGGATGGTCTCGATCTCCTGACCTCGTGATCCACCTGCCTCGGCCTCCCAAAGTACTGGGATTACAGGTGTGAGCCACTGCTCCCGGCCTAAAGTTTATTTTTTAAGGAATACATTTTGTAAGGCTACAGCTACTACAGACAGTGATTCCTTTGCATCTGGGCAAAATAAATTGAAAAACTTTGAATTCACCATGTTAGATGCCATTAAGAATACTTGTCATTCATGGAAGGAGGTAAAAACAAAACAAAATAAAACAAAACAAAACAAAACCTCAGTTGCCTCTTATGGATAAGCAAATAAATGGTTTCTTGAGATGTAATCTCTTCTTGGTGAAGATGCTATGAACACTGTTGAACTTACAACAAATAATTTAGTATATTACATACATGTAGTTGACAAAGTAGTGGCGGAGTTTGAGAGGATTGATTCCAATTATTGAAAGAAGTTCTACAGTGGGCAAAATGCTATCAAACAGTATTACATGCCACAGAGAAATATTTAATGAAATGAAGACTCAATCAATGCCACTAACTTCATTGATGTCTTATTTTAAAAAATTGCCACAGCCACCCCAACCTCTGGCACCACCACTCTGATCAGACAGCAGCCATCAACATCTAGTCGAGACCCTCCACTAGCAAAGAGATTATGACTCACTGAAGGCTCAGATGATCATGAATAATTTTCAGAAATAAAGTACTTTTAAATTCAGGTATGTATATTGTTTTTTAGACATAATGCTATTGAATACTTAATAGATTACATTACAGTGTAAATGTAACTTTTATGTGCACTGGGCAACTAAAACATTCATGTGACTTGCTTTATCATAATATGCACTTTATTGCAGTGGTCTGGAGCCAAACCTGCAATTTCTCTGAGGTGTGCCTGTATACTGCCATGGATCTGTATTGAAAACAAAAAGTTAGCGATTATACGTGAAATAAGTGGTAATTACTGTAGTTATAACTGATAGGAATGATATAATGACGTAGACTAGGAGAACAAATATTTTGTGGTTTTGGCCATGTAAAATACTTAAATATAGGTTGATTTACCAGAATTAGGGATGTTTGTAGAGTTAAGGAAATTTGTAGCTATTTTGCTAGAATGTTTCATGAATAACATACATTTTGTACAAATAAAAGTGGGGGAAAAGTTAGGTGAGTTACAGTTTAAGTATGTAATATCATTTCTAATGATTAGTCACTTATAAATATTGATAATCCAGCTTATTTTTAAAAACACTCTCTTGGTTGAGCTAGAATTTTAATTTGCAAAAATTGGCTGGAAACAAATGTTGGTAATTAGTTTCTAGTTTGCATAAGCCTTTCTTCACAAATATTTGCTTTTTTAAATAGTTAGCAGTGGCTGTTTGCCTATGTACAAGGATTTGTGGGCAGTAACAGTGAAACTCATTATGACTTTTGTAACTGCCATCATGTATTTTACACGGGCTTCACATTTGATAAGAACCACTTACTTCTTCACATCGCATAGTAATCCAAATTTGACATTTTTGAGAGCCAGTTAATTTTCTTTAAGAAAATATGTTCTCACCAGATTTTATATGTCCCAAGAAGCTCCTTTTTTTTTCTTGCCATCTTACCTTGTAAAGAAGAAAGTTTCAGTTGCAGATGAACTTTGAATAAGGATTTTTTTTCTGCACAGTCATTCCTATTAATTTATTAATAGAAATAATGCCAATTGGAAATGGTTTTGCTTTTAAAGGCAGAGGTAAAAAATTCTTTTTAAAGTCTAGGGGTGAGGTCCTAATCAGCACTTTAAAAATAAGCACTTTGGTTGATTTTGACTAGCTCAGATGATCTCACTTCCACACAGATCAATCTGTATAACAAGATTGTTCCAAATTAGGCCTGTTTAACACAGGGGACTTGCACCAGAAGGAAAAATTAGAACTTATATTGCTATACAATTTTATTTTATCATTATTTATTGATGTTACAGGAAAGGGACCCAGATCCAGATCCCAAGAGAGACTTCTTGGATCTCATGCAAGAAATAATTCAGGGCGAGTCCATAGAGTAAACTGAAAATAAGTTTATTAGGAAAATAAAGGAGTAAGAAAATGGCTACTCCATAGACAGAGCAGCCCCAAGGGCTGCTGGCTGTGCATTTTAATGGTTATTTTTTCAAGATATGCTATAAACAAGTGATAGATTATTCATGCCTTCCTCTTTTAGACCATATAGAGTAACTTCCTGACGTTTCCATGGCATTTGTAAACCTTCATGGCACTGGTGGGAGTGTAGCAGTGAGGACGACCAGAGGTCACTCTCGTGGCCATCTTGGTTTTGGTGGGTTTGGGCCGGCTTCTTTACTGCAACCTGTTTTATCAGCAAGGTCTTTTTGACCAAGTATCTTGTGCCATCCTCCTAACTCATCCTGTGACTTAGAATGCCTTGTCTGGGAATGCAACCCAGTAGGTCTCAGCCTCATTTTACCCTGTCCCTATTCAAGATGGAGTTGCTCTTGAACGTTAAATGCCACTGACATTGACATTTTTAAACCTGTATCTGTTTATAAAAGTATATTAAGACTGTTGCATTTATGCAATTTATTTAAAAACTAAATGAATACTTGTGGTTGTGATGTTTTATAACTGACAGATATGCAAAATTAGAAAAATCAAAAGGTCTGATCCAGAGTTTCTCTCCTGAATTTCTTTATAATGCATCTCTGGAGTACTTTTTGGTGTACTGAAATCCTCCATCAGACAGCTCCAGCTGGGTTCAGGTTATTTTATATTCCTCCCCTTCAAAAAGTTCTGATATAAAAATAGTGTGAAAGCAAAGGTGATAGTGGGGTGAAATAGGTTTTTCCAGTAGCATTTTTGTCTAAACACCCCATGTACACACAGTCTTTTCTACTGAGCATAGCTGTGTTTCATCAAATCATCCAAGGTTATACTTTTGTCTCAATGACCACTATGTGTCCTAGAAATCGGGGTTCATAAGGTCAGAGGAGCATGATGGGGAGAATGATACTTACAGTTTGATTGCTGACATTTGTTTGTTATATTTTGGCTAGCTTTGCTGTATTAATTCAACTGCAGTCTCTGCTATATGAGAGTATTTTGCTTTCTCAGCCAGGAATGCCCATCTTCAGTCTGGCAAAAAAAGGTTTCCATGACCTTACAAGCATGGATGCATGCCACCTTTATGTAGTCACATCATACTCTAAACTTACTTCCATAATATGTAATTCTCCTTTTAATTTTTTTGCTTTAAATTTTCTTCTTTAGTTTACATTTAGTAGGTTTTTGATACATTTGGAATTCGTGTTTAATAGGCTTATTGAGGTAGAATAGACATACAATAAAATGTCCACATTTAAAGGATAAATGCTTGAGGGGATGAATACCCCATTCTCAACGAAGTGCTCATTTCACATCGTGTGCCTGTATCAAGACAGCTATGTTCCCCATAAATATATACACCTAATATGTACCCATAAATAGGCTAAAAATAAATTAAACATTTTAAAAACGAAAAAATGCATAATTTGGTAAGTTTTGACATTCATATATATGTATACTCATATATATGTATACATATATATGTATACATCATGAAACTCCGAACAAGATAATGGACACAGCCGTTACCCCCAAAATGTCCCTCAGTCCCTTTATAACTCCTGTTTCGGAGACCTTAACCCCCATCCCAGGCAAACATTGATCTGCTTTCTGTCATTATAGATGAGGTTTTATTGTATAGATTTTTATATTAATGGGATCAGATAATATGTATTTAGTTTTCTGGCTTATTTCACTTTGCATAATTATATTCAGATTCATCTATATTGTTATATGAATCAACAGTTTATGTGTTTATATTTTGAAGTAGTATTTTATTGTATGGAAACAGTATGGTTTATTTAGCTATTTACCTGATGGTCGTTTCCACATTTTGGTTGTTAAAAATAAAGCAGCTATAAACATTTATCTATGAATTTTTATTTTAGTGAGGACATTTAACATGAGGTCACCCTCTTAAATCTTTAAGTGTGCAATACAATATAGTTAACCGTAGAAGCAATGTGGTTCAGCACACGTCTAGAACTTATCTTCCATAATTGAGATTTTTATGCCATATGTATTTATTTTTTTCAATGACTATCAAAGATTTGAATGACTGGATATAAGTAGGTATATATTTAACTTTGAAAAAATTGCAAAACATATTAAAAGTGGTTTCATCATTTTTTATTTCCATCAACATTGTATGGAAGTTTCTGTTGCTCCACATCTTCATCAATCTTTATTATGGTCAATCTTTTTAATTTTAGACATTTGAATATGTATGTAGAAGTATCACATTAAATTTTTATTTGCTTCAATGTCTAATGACTAAACACATTGATTCATTTTAAAATCTGCTTATTTACCATTTATATCTCTTCTTTAATGGCCTATTTAAATAAATTGCTCAATTTTTTTATTATTAACTCTTGAGAGTTCTTTATATGATCTGGATATATGCTCTTTATCAGATATATGTTTGAAAGTATTTTCTCACAGGTTCCTACTTGTATTTTATTCTCTTAACAGTATCTGTGGAAAAATAGAATATCTTAATATTGTTGAAGTCCAAAGTCCAATTAATTATCTTTTAATTGACAGTTATTGTAGTGTTAATGTTTAAAAACTCATTACCTAAATGAAAGTCACAAAAAATTTTATCCTGTTGTTTATTCTACAAGCTTTATAAGTATAGACTTTATATTTAAATCTATGATCCATTTTAAGTTAATTTACAGAATCTATTCATTTTTTGGAGATGGGTAGCCAATTATTCCAGCATCATTTATTTCAAAGACCATCCTTTTCCATTGAATTTTCTTTGAATTTTTGTAAAAATCAATTTACCATAAATGTGCATGGATATTTCTAAACTGTCTATTTTGGTCTATTAATCTATTTGTCTATCTTCAGATCACTACTATATTATTTTGATCATTGTGTCTTTTTCATGTGTTTTATTTATCTTCATATATTATGAACTTCATAATACATTTCTATTTTTACTTTTTAAACAATCAGTAATCTTTTAATATTAAGTAATTAAAAAGTCTTTTATTTTTCCATTAGTTAACATTTTTAATTCTCTTCATTCTTTTAACAGTACCTTTTGAAGAGCAAATTTTAATTTTATTGAGGTCCAATTAGTCCTTTTTTTAGTGTGTGGTGGTTTAGTGTTACACCTAAAAATTCTTTGGGTACATTAATATTTCCATGTATATATAAATCATTTTTTTTTTAGATGGAGTTTCACTCGTCACCCAGGCTGGAGTGCAGTGGTGTGATCTCAGCTCACTGCAACCTCTGCCTCCCAGGTTCAAGTGATTCTCCTGCCTTGGCCTCCCGAGTAGCTGAAATTACAGGCGCGTGCCAATATGCCTGGCTAATTTTTGTATTTTTGGTAGAGACAGGGTTTCACCATGTTGGCCAGGCTGCTCTCAAACTCCTGGCCTCAAGCGTTCCATCCACCTTTGCCTCCTTAAGTGCTGGGATTACAGGTGTGAGCCGCTGTGCCCAGCCACAATCCTTTTTATTCTGGATGTGAGATTTTTTAAAATTCTATTTTATTTTATTTATATTATAAAATATCCTTTTTTTCTGGATGTAAAAGACTTCCTTAGTAATTTCTTGCAGGATATATATGCTGGTGATAAATTCTTTCATGTTTTATGTGTCTAGAAAAAACTACTTACCTTTATTTTCTATAGATATATTTGCTGAGACTAAATTTCAGGCTGCCTGGGTTTTGTTTGTTACTTTTTTGGTTATTTTATTACTTTACAGATATTTCTCTGTTCTTTTTTGACTTGAATTGTTTTGGCTGTCATCTTTAATTTCCCTGTACACAATAGTCCTCTTTTCCCTTGCTGCTTTTTTTTTTTTTTTTTTTTTTTTTTTTTTTGAGTCTCATTCTGTCGTCAGGCTGGAGTTCAGTGGCGCGATCTTGGCTCACTGCAATCTCTGTCTCCCGGGTTCAATCGATTCTCCTGCTTCAGACTCCTGAGTAGCTGGGACTAGAGATGCATGCCACCATGCCCAGCTAATTTTTGTATTTTTAGTAGAGACGGGGTTTCACCATGTTGGCCAGGATGGTCTAGATCTCTTGACCTCGTGATCTGCTTGCCTCGGCCTCCCAAAGTTCTGGGATTACAGGTGTGAGCCACTGCACCTGGCCCTCTTGCTGCTTTTAGGCTTTCTCTTTATCACTAGTTAAGAAACTGGTTATGATGTGCTTTCTTGCAGGTTTTCAGAATTTAATTATTTTATTTTATGCTTTTTGAATTTGGAGTTTATTGAATTTTCTGCTTCTGTAGTTGTATAGTTTTCAGTAAAAATTGGCTGTGATTTTTCCAAATATATTGTTGGTCTCCTCACTTTCTCTCCCTCCTCATTGACTCCAATTCTGTATACAGTAGGTTTCTTGAAGTTGCCACATAGCTCACTGATGCTCAGGTAAATTTTTTGTCATTTTTCTTTCTGTATTTCACATGGGGTAATAACTACTGACATATTTTTCATTTTACTCATCTTCTCTTTTGCCATGTATAATCTAGTGTTAATCCTCTCCAGCATATTTTGTTTACCCAGACATTTCTAAAAGTTTGATTTGAGATTTTTTATAGCTTCCATGTCTCTAATTTATGCAGTCAATCTTTCCTTCAGCAACTTCTACATACAAAATATAACTGAAACCGTATTATTGGACTTGTTTAATAATTTTATTATCTATAGTATAGCATTTCTAGATCAGTGTATATTGATTGATTTTTCTTATCATCAGTTATATTTAACCGATTGTTTGAATGCCTAAAAATTTTTGAAAAAGTGTCAGCTGTTGTAAATTGTATGCTTTTGGGGTGCTATTTTTTTTTCTACAAATATTTTTTACCTTTATCCTGGAATGTGGTTAAGTGACTTGTGGAATCGTTTGATCTTTTAAGTGCTTGCTCTTAATATTTGTTAGTTGGAACCAGAGTATTTAGTTTTCAATTAATTTCCCCTGCCACTGGAACAAAACCCGTCTGAGATTTCAACCTGATGCTTCAGGAGTCATGGAATATTTTACTCTAGATGGTGGGAATAGGAACTATTTCTGGCTTTGTTTGTGTTCTGGATATTCCTTCTTCTAATATTCCCACATGATTTCTTCCCTGGTCTTGAGTAGTTTCCTCACATGCATCAATACTCATTGACAACTAGAAGGCAACCCTCTGAGCTCTTTTTCTGTGCAGCTCCTTGGTGTAGCGCTCAGCCAAGTCTAGCCAACTTGACGTCTCCTTACTCGAAATTCTCTCTTCAACTCACTGTGCACCTCCCACTACCCCTGCAAAACCTCGCCGAGGTTGTTCCTCCCTGCACTGCAGCCAGAAAGTTTTATTCACTCAGTAGGCTGGGACAATCCTGGGACTCACCTCCTTGATCTCAACATCTTCATATGTTGAGTTTCTATCAGAGATTATTCCTTCATTGCCTAATATCCAAAGTCCTAAAAATGATTTTTAATATATTTTGTTGTCAAAGGGCAAAAATACAACAAATTTAGTTTGAAGATCTAATTTGCTCTTATTTGCTTTCCAGAATTAGGAAATATCTCATTCTGTATGTTAAAATGAGTATTTTGATGAGCTGAACAGAGGAGCTTGGCTATATAGGTAGAAAAAAGCTGAAGACAACAGAAATGAGGAATGATAAAAGGATTGGTCATTTCAAAGTGACTTTCCTTATGAAGGTTAAAACAGAAAATTTTCCTATCATGCCAGCTCAGGAAAACTGGGCCTCTTCTAGGTGGCTGCTGTGAATCTCCTGGTTTTGTTTTTGTTTTTATTTTTTGTTGTTGTTTTGGAAAATTGGCAAGTTTCAGAGCTCATTTCGGTTATGTGGCTATCAGCATGAGTGACTCCATTCTGGTTAGTTCCGGTCGGCTAGGGCTTAGTCCAAAATAATGGCCTCCCGTGAATTCATTTAGCATTATCTATTTTTTTTGTGTTGCGGACTTTTTTCATGTTAGGGTAAATCTGATCCCTGTAACTCAATATTGATGGAAATGGAAATCTATGTGACTTATTTCTTAACACATATTTGTAGTTACTGCCCCCCACCTTTTTTTTTTTGTCTTGCTACTTCAGGAAACTTTCAGTTTCTAAGAACTGCAAACCTGTCTTTTATCATTGTATGCCCATTTCTTGGCATAATATCTGGAATATAACAATGTTGAATGATTGTTTAATGATAGACTCACATGCAGACATAATTACAAAAAGAAACCAACCTCCTTATAGTGTGAACTTGTTCCTATTTACTCTCTATCTTAATGGTGACCTTGTTCCTGTTTACTCTCTATCTTAATGGTTTCCAAACTTTCTCCTAGTGATCATTGACACTTCATAGAAATGCCTCAGAGGCCACATGGATTTGGGTTGAAACACAAAAGAAAGAAATACAGACAAAGTTCTAATCCCATTTGTTCAACTGTATTTATGTGTTGAGTTTCTATGTAAAATTTAAGGAGTAATTTCAGTGACTTATACAAAAAGTATTTTAGAATTTGACTTAATATATTGCCTTTCCCTAGGTTATTTATATTATCAAATTTACTTAACTGATTAAGAGTCCCTTCAAAGACTTAAAATACACAATATCTAATTGCGAAATGACTCAGTGTTTTACTGGAGATTTAGATGTTTTTTGGGGATAAAGCCTTGCTGGTGGTATTTGAATCATACCACATAGGTAAATACTTTTTCTGGTAGCCAAAAATCAATTATAGTAGTTTTTTCTCCCCTAAACAGAAAGGGAAAGCATGCCTGGATTTTCTGTGACTAAATATCATTCTGATTAAAAAAGAGAAGTTCAACTTTGTTCTGGTTTTCTCTTCGAAACAATGATAAATGACAGAAGAATTTGCCATTTTCCGTTCAATACAAGATTGCAGTGACTAAGATAAGGAAAGAATTCAATAAGAAATCAGTTAAAAAATCATTTACAAAATTGCTGTGCCACTTCTCTCTTGTAGGGAGCTGGAAAATGGGAGAGAAAAAAGCTATTTCTGGAGACACAATCTACATATCAAAAGGAAGATTATTTAAATTGTGTGAGGGACAAGAATGAGCACAAAGCCAAGGCTACATTCTTGGCCATCCAAGTCTTGCTTGATGTCAGACACCCGCTAGAATTCTGGACTCTATTTATTTGTTTTGTTTTAACTGGTGCTGATTTCAACTACTTATTTTTTACATTTTTGCCTGTTATGCAGTGAAATGTGATTCCTGGAAAATATGGCTGCTTTTTTTTTTTTCTATTTAATAATGAAAGATCTGCTAAAAAAAAAAAAAAAGGTCTTTGAATGTCAGCAGCATTTCAAAACTTCCTCAGAAAGACACTAGCACTTAGGATGTTTGTTTTTTCCTGCTGGACATCATTGACCTACATAGTCCACTGGCTTGGGCTTAAGGAAAAGAAAAAAAAAGTGTTTTATCTCAAAACCAATGATAGCTTTTGACATCTGTGCTAGATCCATTTTCTACCTGCTGTGCTTAATTTCAGAATTCAGTTCTATCATTAAAATAAAAACCTTGTTGGCCCTTCCATTGATGTGCCACATTACATCAATTTTCTCCAAGAATCATGTACAATTTCTAGGTACCAGTGCCTCCTGGATTTCCTTGAAATTTCAGCTCTTGCTACCCTGCTGTACGAATTGATCCTGTGCACTGTGGGATGACACATGACCTGTGGAAATATATTATTTCTTCATTCCTTTTCCCAATCTCACATCCTGGAATGAATATTTCCCTCACATCTTTGATGGTCTTACTTGTGTGATTCCTCACTCATCCCACAAAGACCATCCTTCCACTAGAAGAGGACTGATCATTTGGATTGTTTGCAAGAGATAACTTCTCCATCTCAGCCTGCTGTCATAGGCAAAGTGGGTCTGGGCATGCAGGCTTTGCTCACGTTTCCAGTGTCACTCTCCATCCTGTGCTGGCTCTTGAATTTCAGTTCTAAACATCAGCTGAGCATATTAACTCAGAGCGTCATTACTGAGTGGCTGAATTACTAAAATACTCTTTATGTCAGTGTTGTTCGGAGTCTGTTGCTAGTGGAATTACTGATGATAGAGTTTTGACATTAATGAGAGGCATGGGACAGAAGCCTCTGTGCTCTATATGATTTTGGAGAAGAGTAACTGGTAGATTTTGGGTGCTGTAAAGAAGAGATGCATATTCCCCTAAAAGTGGCAGAAGGAATATCCCTTTTTGCTCAGTCTGTGTTGCAGCTATTCCTAATAGGTGTACTTCTGAGTATATTTTCACTAGTTCACTAGTTATGAAAAAGACAGGTGCTACATATTCTTTTCCATCTTTAATTCCCTCATGGCCAATGGTAGCTCCATCCGTTCTGGTTCCTGTGGCAGAATCATAAGTGTTGTCCTATACTTACCTGGTGACTAGACACTCCTTTTTGCTTTCATGAACATATTCGTGTCCATCTTACCTTTTTCTATTCCTGTGACTATAGCTTTCTTTCAGAGCATTGTCTGAATTTCTTCAATAAGTTCCTAATTTGTTTCTTTTCTCCCCCTCCATAGTGCCCTCAGAGTGATATTTTTGTAAAAGGCAAATATGTCTCTTCCCTGACAGAAATCTTTGAGATTCCCATCACATAATACAGTATTTGTGAGAGGGAAAGGCTAATTGGAATGTGTGCAAACCTTGCCAAGTGACTCAGACATATTTCCCTCTTCCCAGATTGAGAATCACAGACCTACAAGACAAAAACAGCTAACATTTATATCAGAAAGTATTTTAATTGCTTTACATGTAAATACATGTTCACAAATTAATGTTTACATTTAATGCTCACAAATATGGCATAGGCCCTCTTTTTTTTTTTTTTTTGAGACAGAATTTGGCTCTGTCACCCAGGCTGGAGTGCAGTGGCGTGATCTCAATGGCATGACCTCCGCCTCTTGGGTTCAAGCGATTCTCCTGTCTCAGCCTCCTGAGTAGCTGGGACTACAGGTGCACACCACCATGCCAAACTAATTTTTTGTAGGGACAGGGTTTCACCATGTTGGCCAGGCTGGCCTCATACTCCTGACCTCAGGTGATCTGCCTGCCTCGGCCTCCCAAAGTGCTGGGATTACAGGCGTGAGCCACCGTGCCCGGCCATAGGTACTCTTTTTAGGTCCATTTTTTAGGTGAGGAAACTGAAGCACAGAAAGAATAATTAATTTGTCCAAGACAACAAAACTAATTGTAGCAGAAGCAAGAAGCAAATTGGGGATATTCTAGATCCAAGCCAGTGCTCCTAAACCCTACACTATGCTTGTTCCCTTAAGATGGAGTTCTAGTTTCTTGCTCCTATGTCTATGTAGACATCGATGATTTGTGCTGAATATTTGCTATATTCTCTACCTCCAGTCCTTCAGTCTTTTAAAATCCCTTTGTCTTTGGAATTCCTTTAGACAAAACTAATTTAGTTGTAAGATAAGCATACAGATTTTTAAATGTAGAATGATTTACTGAAGCAGGTAGCAAAAATCCTAATAACATCAAAATTACATATTTTCTCATCTACCTGGATGTTTTAAGTGTGAACCTAATAAGGTAAGAGAATCATTAAGGAATATCCCAATGAGAAAGAAGAGTTCACAAAATATACAGAAAAAACTGTATAATATTAAATTTTGTGGGGAGGCAAGTTGCCTCAAATTTCTCTCTCCAGTAAAGTATTAGCCATACATAGAGAGTAAAATAAATATCTTTCTAGAAGAATTAACTGTGATTTAGGTTTTCTAAAAGGTAAATTACCTATAATGAGAGAAGTAGTGAACACCTGAAATAAATCATAGAAGCAAGGTAATTAATCGTCTGAAAAAAAAAAGAATCAGGACATTTGACATACTTGAAACTGCAATTCTATCATGGGCAAAAATGTTAAAAGGGGACATTTGAATGTTATAATATAATATAAAGAAACATTTTCAAAAGGGATTGATATATTTATTACCTTTTAAATCATTGTACTGGCCGTGTGGCAATCCCTTCAATGTTACAGCAATTTTGTTCAAGAATCCAGACTTTTACAACTACAGATCACTAACTGGCCATTTGAGCTAGAACATTTAGAAAAACGACCACACACACAAAGGATGACTTCTGTTGTGCATATTGTCTAAAGCAACACAAAATATATTTATAAATTTCATGTAGAAAGTGAGAGAAGAATATTTCTAGGGAATAGGAAGTGGTAAATACAGAATATTGGTAAAGTATCCACAATTACTATGTATTAAAACACGCTGTATAATATGGCATTGATATTCTCTTAAACACACACCCCCCCACATTTTCTTTATGATAATTTCCCAATTGTTTACTAATTTAGAACAAATAAAATAATAATAGTGTGTCCTTGTACAACAGTCATAGTTCCTTTCCCAAGCTCTCCTCAATCAGGTTTAAAATTGTTTTACCTATGATGAGATTTTTCAAGAATATCACCCTCCTGACTGGGAAAGAACCACTGTGCTACTTTCTCTTGCAGAGTGGTTGAAATGAAATGTGCTAGTTTTTTTTTGTTTGTTTGAAAAAAAATTCTATTGAAATATAGCTTATATACTACAAAATGTGCCTGTTTTAAGTGTACATTTGAATAATTTTTAGTATATTTATATTTACAGAGTTGTGCATTCATCATTGCAATCTAATTTAGAACCATTTAATCACCTTAGAAATGAATCTTGTGTCTTTTTAGTCACTCGCCGTGCCCATCCCCAAGCTTGGACAACATCTCATCTACTTTCTGTGTCAGTATATTTCTGTCTCCCCATATTTGCTTTTTTTTTTTTTGGATATTTTCTGTAAGTGAACCCATAATATGTGCTCTTCGTAAGGCACTGTTAGAGGAATTGAGAGAGAAAGTTTAGAACTCTTTGTTACCTTTGATCTCATGCAAATAATATATAGAAGACTATTTCTTTATAGTGGAATAGTACCCAACTCTAGAGGAGTGGTATTGTATATTCTAGTAAGGGGGAGAATTTCTGTATCATTTGTACTTTTAATTTTCTTTGGGCCTTTGGCCAAGTTGCCTAATATTTTTTTAGTTTTGTTGTCTGAAAAATGGGGATAATAATACTACTTATCTTACAGTTTTATGGAAATTAAATGTTAATATGTAAAAAGTTCTTAGAAAAAGGCCTGGAAAATAGTAACATTACATAATTTTTTAAATTGTGGCTAATTTTGGTTATCATCATTCTACTCTTGAAGAAATATAATAGCATCGGGCAGCTTTGTGAATTTTTTTTTTTTTTTTTTTTTTGCTTTGAGATGGAATTTCACTCTGTCACCCAGGCTGGAGTGCAGTGGTGCAATCTCAATTCACTGCAACCTCCGACTCCTGGGTTCAAATAATTATCTTGCCTCAGCCTCCTGAGCAGCTCAGATTACAGGCACCCGTCACCATGGCCGGCTAATTTTTTTTGTATTTTTAGTAGAGATGGGGTTTCACCATGTTGGCCAGGCTGGTCTCAAACTCCTGACCCCAGGTAATCAGCTCACCTTGGCCTCCCAAAGTGCTGGGATTACAGGCGTGAGCCACTGCGCCGGGCCAGGTTTGTGAGTTTTGGTCAATTGGTACTCTGAAGTGATGAGTGAAATGAAACTCTGTCCCTGGGGCAGGAAACTGATAGCTAAATCTGCTCCTATAGGCAAAAATTTGCCACATTTGTGAATGGCAGCTTCCTAAATCAGAAACCGAACCATATTTTCCTTTGATCACAAAAAGGATGAAGAATGCACCGTTTTTCCTGTGAATCAGCTGACTTTTCATTTTTTGCTATGAATCACAAGTGTGATTCCCTTCTTGGGAAACTCCATCTTGATAACAGAGGAAAAGAATCAAGTGGTTATAGGAAAATTGCCCAATTTTATCCATTCTAACAACAAAAAGGAAGAATGTCCTTTAAAAAAAAGTTCTTTACCAAGGCCAATTTCTGCTGCACACTTCAAAATACTCTCTATTCATCAGCCATTCTGTCACTTCCAATAGATTTTTTTTTTCAAAGCTAAATAGAATGGCTTATTTACTTCATACTTGGTCTGTGAAATTTAAGCTGGCTGACCAGTCTGTGTGTCTCACAACCTTAGCAGGTGGGAAAAACTTCGGGGACAGTAGGTGTTATATTTCTCAAGTAGTGACAAAATAGGAGTACCCTTGAAAGATGAGCATTCCCTTTGCTTGTCTTTTTCCTGGAACAACTCTGACAGTGTGGTGTGTAGCCTTGGTAAAATTTTCTAACATTTTTCTGACTACTGAAATAGGTAATAAGAGAAATACATCATTTCTAACAAATGACATTTACTAGGGAGCTGCATTTTCTGGGAGACCCAAAGTGTATATGTGTGTTCTCTGGTAAACAAAGTGAATCTCTGGAGGAGCAGTTTGTAGCCTGGCCCTATCCACTCAGGTACTTGCATAGGTAGCGAGCTGCTTCTGATATAGTTTTATGTTAAAACAAAAAACGAAACAACAACAGCAACAAAAATACAAAGAGAGAAGTAATAGAAGACGTATTTTAAGTGAATCAGTTACTTGAATAGGTAGCTAGCTGCTTCTGATAAAGTTTTACGTTAAAACAGAAAACAAAACAACCACAAAAAAGACAGGATGTAATAAAATATAGATATACATTTTTAAATTTTATTTATTTATTTATTTTGAGATGGAGTATTGCTCTGTCGCCCAGGCTGGAGTGCCATGGCATGATCTTGGCTCACTACAACCTCCACCCCCTGGATTCATGCAATTCTTCTGCCTCAGCCTCCCTAGTATCTGGGATTACAGGCATGAGCTAACACACCCAGTTAATTTCTGTATTTTTAGTAGAGACAGGGTTTCCACATGTTGGCCAGTCTGGTCTGGAACTCCTGACCTCAAGTGATCCACCTGCCTCGACCTTCCAAAGTGTTGGGATTACAGGCGTGAGGCACCACGTCCATCCTAAAAGATACATTTTAAGTGAATCTTTACATTGTCCCCTTGATTTCAATAAAAATATTACACCTTTAATAAAGGCTCAAGACTTTGAGTTACATAGTGCATTAACTTTCACAAGGTGAGCCTAATTACATTTATCCAGTTTCTTTTATTTAATGCTGCCCATAGTCTACTTGTTATTATTAATAGTAGTGGCAGTAGCACAGTGGCTTAAGCTAAATATTTCATGTATTTCATACAGACCTTCAGAGATAATTCCAAAACATCTCCTTGGGATAATTTTTACATATGTGATTACTCTGTATGTTTAAAATAAAAACACTTACAATATGATCATCCAGCTAACAGATCAGGCTACCTTATCTATTTTCATTTCTTTTATTTTCATCTAACCCTTTAAAAACCTCAATATTGAGGTCATTCCTTTTGAATTCATTGGGTTGGACATTGATGGGTTCCGTATTCTTTTAATATTTTTCATCCTTTTACACATTCTGATCAAGAATTTCTGATTTATAATTCATTCAAAATAAGAAGCCAGAGGACCAAGAAAGCTTTAAGAAACAGCATCAATATGGGGTGGCTTTTTTAGTAGTTGGTAAAATAATCTATGCAGCTGATCAAAGGAAAAGGCCAGAAAGGTCAGAATCAGACCCCCAGATATATAACAATTATGTAATTGATAGAAGTGGCACCTCCAATTAGTAAACAAACGTTAGGTAATTCAGTGAACAATTTTGGATCAAGTGATTCATGATTTAAGGTGAGAATTAAATATCTACTTCATACCATGTAACATAATTTCCATGTGTTAATATTTTAAACATAAAAAAAACTTAGAAAAAGGATAAGTTTATCTGATCTTTCTGTAGTAATGCCTTCCAACCACAAAAAGCAATACTCTACAAATCATAAAAAAAAGAGGATTGTGAGATTTAAGTGTAAAATACTAAAATTTACCATGGCAAAACCATCCCAACCAAAATTAAGTACAAATCATGAAATGGGAAAGACAGCTGTAATACATGTGGTAAACAGTGATATTCTTGAAGACGAAGAGATATTTCAAGTTAATGGAAAGGACAATATCCTAATAATAGGCAAAATGTTGGCAATCTACTCTCCAAAATATAAAAGATCAATGAACATTAAAAAATATTCTAGGCCGGGCACAGTGGCTCACACCTGTAATCTCAGCACTTTGGGAGGCTGAGGTGGGTGGATCACAAGGTCAAGAGATCGAGACCATCCTGACTGACATGGTGAAACCCCATCTCTACTAAAAATACAAAAATTAGCTGGGCATGGTGGTGCACACCTGTAGTCCCAGCTACTAGAGAGGCTGAGGCAGGAAAATTGCTAGAACCCAGGAGGCGGAGGTTGCAGTGAGCCAAGATCACACCACTGCACTCCAGTCTGGCAACAGAGTGAGACACCGTCTCAAAAAAAAGAGAAAAAAAAAAAATATATATATATATATATATATGTATATATATATATATATTTTTTAATATATATATATCCTAAATTACGTATTATTAAAGAAATAAAATTAAAATAGTATTGAAATACCACCTTTGTCTCATCAATTGGAAAGCTATTTGTTGTTTTAAAATGAAAATATCCTCAGTTGGTTAGTGTGGAGATAGACAGGTATTGTTACATATAGTTCGTGATTGTAAATTGGTATAACTTTTAAGAGGTCAACTCAGCAAGTTGTAAGAAGTATTCAAAATAGTAAGGAAATAAGCATGATTCTAAATATTTAGTGATAAGGATGTTTGTAGGATTGTTTTATTGACAGCAAAGACAAAAACTGGAAACATTATTAAAAATATGAGATTTATTGGGTAAGATGTTATGCATAAAAAGTGCATATATGCATGTACTTGAATTAAATTAGTAAAAGGCGAAAAATTTATATGATCTGAAGAGAAACCAGAGTATCTTGAATTAAATTATAGAAGTGTTAAATTTAAGTGGAAAATGTTAAGTAATAAAGATTGGTTGCAAACAACATATAAATTATCTAACAGAAATTATCCGATAGAAAAAAAACCTGAAAATATCTCTAAAATATTTATGGTAGTTTTCTATGTAATGAGATTATGGGTGATTTTAGTCCTCTTTTTTGGGTTTATTTATTCTTAATTTTTTACAGAATAAATTATTATTTAATAAAGAAACAAATAAACACTATAATCTGCTTTAGGTTAGTAGTTTATATCATGGTTAAGCATTGTATAATCATGTTTTATGGATTCCAATCCTGTCTCTGACACTTACTAACTGTATGTGACATCAGCCAAACTGCTTACTCTCTCATTTTAAATTTTCTTTTTGTGAAATGGATAAAATAAATTTACCTTCTCCATAAAGTTAGCTTTGTGAAAGAAAATAAAATTTCAGGACCCTCTAAATTTATTGTGCCAACGGGGAAGTTAAGCCCTAGAGACTGAGTCACATAGCATGTCTCCAACCTCTGTTTCTTAGATTATACATTAATTTTACTCCCCGTTGTTCTTTTTCTGTAAATGACTAGGAGAAACCAGAGACCAGACCTGCCTGCTTTTCAATCACTGATCTTTGTTATAGATTAACTGTGTACTTTACTGTCCTGTATCTGACTCAGACCAGATGTTACTCAAAACCCCGTGGCTGTTACATCTTTGGTGTAGAATATTAAATATACCTTTAATTTATTAAAAAAAAAGACCACCTCAATTAATCAGATTGTTATAACTATCCATTAAGCCTTATATACAAAGATGTTGAAATTCTGTTTCAACCTCTTTTTTTTAAAAAAAAGACCACCTCAATTAATCAGATTGTTATAACTATCCATTAAGCCTTATATATAAAGATGTTGAAATTCTGTTTGGCTTCTCTAAATTGTATCTATGTCAATGATCCCAAACTTCTGCACTTCAGAACACTGACCTCCATTCTTTGGCATTTGTGTTTCCAGGGTGACCATCCTCAAACTTTGAGCTTGAATCTACTCTTTTTAATCTAAATTCTAACTCTTTTGATTATTTTAGGTTGACAGTTTAAAGATTGAGATTTGGCAAAGCTTGTATCATTATGCCTGTTATTTATTAATTTTGCTGTAAGCATTTTCCATTGTTACATAAAGAAAAGGTTGTATCGTAGTTATAAACTTCAAACTTTACCCAGAATAGATGATGAAACTGTCTAGTCTGCTCGTGTTTTTATATTTTTATAAGAACTTTTTCTGGTGTTCGGGTACAGTTGTACATTTGTGCATTGCACAAAGGCACCAGGGAGAGGAGGTGAGTAGGGTTAAAACCAGCTTTCATTCTACTACCCTGGCCATGTGGTTTTCTATTGAAAGAGACACGCAATAGTTAGTGGAAGCACCATTATTTCCATTCTTCTGTAAAATCCAGTGCCTACCTACAATGGTCATGGCTAATAATCTTCATATGTTAAGTTTTATGTCTTATGATGTTAATTTTATAGTCCTTCCCACAAAGAAATAATGCTTTCTTCTTACTATCCTTAAATACAACAGACCTCTCAAAACTTTGCCACTTAGTGAAATTCAATCAGGTCACCTACTTCAGTTATGTTACCTTAACCTTAAAAAAAGTTTTAACTTTGCCATTATTTTCCATGGCCTAAATCACCTGCTTCAAAATGTTTCAGAGGAAATGCTGAATTTTGCACAGTAGCCATTTCAAATAACAGAATAATATATCTATCAGTACTCTGTTCTCTCTCATATTCTGTGCTATTGAAATCTACCTGCTGTTTAAATTCCATAGCCTGGCACTCTGATATTAACCTTGAGCCCCAAACTCCACAGGATTTACCAAACATACAGACAATGTCCTATTAACTTACTCTTTGCCTTCCTTTCTCTGTATCTCTCAGATATGAGCTTGTAATTTTCTGTGGTGGGGCACTTGTATATAATAGCTTGTGCCATCTAATTGAATGAGGGGTTTAAAGAACATTAAGCACTTAGAGGGAAATTGTGCTGGAATATAATGCCCTTTTTGGGCTGTTGGCTGACTTTTTGGTTCCTAATCAATAGGCTGATCAGCAGCTGTAGGAGAGAGATGAGGATGATAGAAAAACTGTACTCTAATGAGTAGAGAATCAGAGAGAAAACTGGATCCTTTTAAAAGAGGAATAGAAATAAAATTAAAGAGCTGAGACAGAAGTAATTGATTTCATTTTCTACAAACATTTACAAAACACCTACTGTGTGCATAGCACTAAGCTATGTATCAAGGGAAACTTGAAAAAGGTTATTTTAATGTTGGCAAATCCTGGGAAGAATAGACTACTTTGGATTAAAACTATCAATGCTTGAGATAGCAGCATTATCACCATAGCAGTACAAAAATAATATCTACTTTAGTGCCACTAAAGGTATTTTTCTATTTTCTTCTGGCAGATGAATGGAGGTAATCCAGAATATTTATTAATTAAAATAAAAATAAAAGAGAAATCTGCCATGTGGGCTAGGCAATGGAGGAGGGTGGCTATAAGGAACTAGCTATTTTTCTTCTAACTTCATGTCGCCTCCTTAAAAAAATCTATACCCATCTCAAGGCCGCAAAGTAATTAATGATATTGCGGCCAGTTTACTTATAGCCTAGTAGCATATGAAATCTTTAATTCTAAGCCCTAGTTAGTAACCAAAACCTATTTTGCTTGATTGTTCTGCTGGTAATGAAAAGGAGAAAGAAAAGAATGATGAAAAATATAAAATATGAAGAAAGAAGAAGAAATTTCAATTCTTCTCATACATGGTAAGGAAAATAAAAATACGTTTCTTCTTCTTTTTTATGACAGCCAAGCGTATAGCATGTGTCAGTGGCAGATCAAATATTTAAAGCAAATTTTAATAAGTGAGACTCAAAAAGGGATTTATAAAGCTCAGGGGTTTTGGAGAAGAGTGTTCAGATCAGGGAATTCCACAGCTCTGGGGCGTAACAGGTGAATGCTCTGTTGCCCATGGATGAGATACCTGACAAGGGGGTTGATGAATTTGAGATTTATTATTAGTAAGTAAGGACTGAGGGCACGTATAAATGGAGGCCAATTCTGATAGGAATGAAAGAGAAGTTCCACAGAGGTAATGAAAAACTCTGAGCCAAATTTTATAGTCAATGTACTGACTGATAGCGATTGAATGTAAATCTGCCATAACTGAAGTAATGTGATTGAATTTATTGCTATGAGTAAATGCATGGGTTGTGGCGGGTTGAACAATGATGTGCTTTGCGAGTATTAGACTTTGGAGAGTTTCCATATTAACATAATCTAGAAGTCATAACAGTACACATTATAACAGTAAAAGCAGCACAAGTACTTTAAAAAATAGTGGATTAACTAATTTAAATGCTTGGACTAGCTCAGTGAAAGGGTTTTCCTTTGATAAAAGCTTTTAGACAGTTAACTGTAGATGATTTGGGAAACAAAGAGTAATATGAAAATAAAAGTTTTATAAAGCAATAGCAGGACCTTCATAAATACTATTTAAAGTGAAAATGGCAAATAACTTGAGACACACATTAGTCACAGGAGAAGGTAAAGGGGAATATGGTATCAGAAATCCATGATTCTAGAGAAATAATTGTTTCTTATAATAGAGAAGCACAATTCTAAACAAAAGCTATTCTTACAAATTGAAAATTAGGAAACACCGCACTGGATATTAGGACTACTAAAATCCTTTTGTCTAATCTTCTGTTCTGCCCCCACACTTTCTTAAGACTAAATCATCATTTACTGCCAATGGGTTTTAAGAGGGCCACTTCACAGCACTAGTATTCCAGCATGGAATCTAAAGGCTTGGTAGAACCACATTCAGCCTTTTCCTTGTATTTAGTCCTTCTTCATTTCCCCTTGAATAATATGTGTAGACTTATTTTTAACTCGTGTTTTGTGTCTGTTCAATTAGGGAGTTTAAAAAATCCTTGAGGGCAGGAACATGGCTTTCTTTTGTTGTCACCCATGTCTAATACAATGTGTTACACAAAGAAAAAATTTTTCTATGTTTAAAATTCTTTTGTTGAATAAATTGATTCTGCATTTATGTTAATGATTTGGGAATACTTTTCAAAAATGTTGAAATTGCCTCCAATGAATATTTTTTCATTGTCGTCATCCACAGCTATAGTGAATGGACATGGTTAAGGTGTATATTTTGGGTATAGTAAAAGAGGAAATGAGAAAAAAGATCTACTAATTCAGCCATTTATTTCATGCTTTAAATTTATTCAACAAATATTATTGAGTATCTCTTTTGTGCCAGGCACTCTTAATTGCCTGAAATACCTCAACGAACTAAACTGACAAAATTTCCTGCTTTTATGAAGCTTATATTCTAGTGGGGAAAGGCAGGTAATAAACAACACAAAAATAAGTATATATGTAGGATATTACAAGGTGATGACTGCTATGGCAGAAAGACCCAGAGAAGGGTGGTCAGGATTGGGAACCTGACAGGGGTGTCGGGTAGAAGCTAAAATTTAAACTAAGTTGTTGAGGATAGGTGAAGATTGAGCAAAACATTGAAGGAAGTGAAGTTAGCCATGTAGATTTCTAGGGGAACAACTGGTACAAGGCACCCAAGGCAATGATGTGCCAGGAGGATTAAACTGGAGCAGAATGAATGAGGGAGAGAGTAGGTGGGGAGAGATTTTCTATGGCCTTGTAGACTACACTATAGTCACATTGTAAGCACATTAGCTATTATTCTAAATGGGACATCTGTGTAGATTCTAAGTAGAGGAATGGTTTGATATAACTTTATATTTTTAAAGAATGACTCTGGTTGTTGTGTGAATAATACAGTTTAGGGTGCAAGGTTGGACTAAATATTTGTTGAAGTCTAATGATGCTCTACTCATTGCTAATTGCTGTGGATAGGAAAAGATGATAGTATGAGGATGAATAAAGTATGAAGGGCAGTACAAAATTAACTGCTCTTTTGCTTTAAAATTGACCTGTTGAGTAAGTTTTCTTTTAAGAAACTGTATAAAACATACAGAGAAAAATGATAAAATATACAGAGGTGTGATATTAAATGATTATATATGGCCTTTACCCACTGACCTTTACTAAGCAATTTTAAGTCATGGAGATTTTAAAGCTGGCGGAGACTCTGGAGATCATCTGGTAACCTGACTCCTTCTTAGGTACATCAGAGCTCTGAGATCAGAGAAGGGTCATGTAAGAAAGTCTTCTGGTATAAATGCCAGACCTGGACTTCACTATGGATGTTCAGACTCTAAGTCTACAGCTTTCTCTAGTAGGGCATCTTGTCTCTGTTTATAGCAGTGTTGATGTCTGTTAAATCAGTCTTTAGGATGTAAAAAAAACCAGATAATTTTCTCTAGGCAAAACTATTGGCACAGTTCTTGCATAAAAGAGAGAAAAAATGTATTCTGAAACAGCTCTTCAGAGCCATTATCTGGTGCTCCCTCAGAACAGGTAAGCACTGAAATGTAATGTCATTGATGAAAACTAGTTTAAAAATTAATTGGGAAAGACTGCCTCTTTGGATTATGAAGAAGAGTTCTAAAGTTTTTCTTTGAAATGCCAAAAGCCAATGAGTGGCACTAAAACAGAGAAACAATCTGAATGATCAAAGTCATTATTTTTCAGCTTCAAAATGCCAAATACCAGGAAATACTGCTTTCTGGGAGCAAGTAGTTTATTTTTTAATAAGAAGATGTTAAAATTAGCTTATGTACTGACAACAAAACAGATGACATTGAAACAATAAAACACAATAAAACAATAAGAAACTGGAAACAATATTACTCATATCTGTTAAAATACTTGTTTGTTAATTCCACATAAAAAGAGCAAAAAAGATCAACAAAAAAAGTATCATAACAACAAAAGAACAAATAAAAACCAGCAGCTAAATTGGTAGAAATTTATTTTTTAAAAAGTCTGGCCATTCTTATCTGGTGCCATGCTTTTTTTTATTTTTTATTTTTTATTTTTTATTGTTTGAGCTCATTTGGGGATCTACTTGTTCTAGAGAAAGGGTTAGCACTGTTGTTTTTGTTGTTGTTGTTGTTGTTTTTCATTTGTTTTTGGTAAAGAGCCTCATAGGAGAACTTTTAGGCTTTAGGACCATATTATGTCCGACTCAACCATTCAGCTCTGCCATTGTAGTGTAAAAGCCATAGAAAATATGTAAACAAAGGGTGCATCTGTGTTCCAAAGACATTTAATTCACAAAACAGGCACTGGATCACTGGATTGCAGACCATAGGTTGCAAGCCTCTTTTCTAGGTTGCTGTCTGAGTCTGCGTGATTGAACATGGGTCATTGCATTCCATCTGCATTCTAGCTCAAAATAAAGAGAAACAGAAGCTAGAGAAATGCACTGGAGTGTTACAAGTCCAAAGTGACATTTTTTATTTCCACCCCCATATCATTAATCCAAACCTAATAATGTTTCTGTACTTATTTGCAGGGGATATTGAGAAATGTGCCAAAGTTAAAGAAAAGAATGAGGAGACAAAGGATATGGAGGGACAAAAATCAGCAAAATGCTTCAATAGCTTCATACCAAAATTTTGCCATTGATTACCCACCCAACAAATAATTAATGTGCTGATAGTCACAACTGATTTTATGCCTATTAGGATTTTAGACATCCCTCTATTACTTCATTATTTATTATGACAACATTGAAGTATTAAAAAATATTAAAAGAATTATACACTAAACATTCAATACTCATCACTTAGATTCCATAATATATACATTTATATTTTTATCAAATACCTATGCATCCATATATCCTTCTATCAAACAATAAATTCATCTTTTTTCTGCCTTCAAAATAAGTCTCTGACCTCAGCATACCTGACTAGCAGGCACATCCTCAAGAATATCATTAGAGTTCAGTATTTGATTATAGTCAATTGGGGTTTTTTGAGGTAGAATTCACATACAATGAAATGTATAAATATGAAATGTACCATTCAGTGAGTATTTTCAAAAATATAATCTTTGTAACCACAATTCATATTGAGATGTAGAAATTTTACCCCAGCAAGTTCTATTATGCCCTTAATCCTCCCTATCTAGCAACTACTATTCTCAGTCTTCTCATCATAGTTTTCACTGTTCTAGAATTTCATGTAAATGATATCATGAAATACGTACTTTTTTGTGACTGTTTCTTTTACTCAGCATAGGGTTTTTTTTTCACATTTCATCTGTGCTGTTGCATGTATCTGTCATTTGTAGAAATATGTTATCCATACTTAATAAACATCAGAATTTTTTTCTGTTTTGGACAATTATGAATAAAGTTGCTATGAACATTCTTGTACAAGTCATTTGTTGATATATGCAGCATTCACACACATATATACATATATATATGTACACACACACACACTTTTTTGTTGTTCTTGGGAAAATACTAGGAAAAGAATTGTAAAATTACTGGGTCAGAAGGTTAGAAGATAAGTATATATTAAGTTTTATAAGAAAATTCTAGAAGCTTTTGTCATGTGGCTTAACCATTTTATACTTCTGTCATCAGTACATGAGAATTGCAATTGCTTTACTTCCTCAACAATATTTGAAGTTGTTAGTCTTTTTAATTTTAGTTGTTCTAATGGTTAAGTCGTGGGCCTATGCTATTTCTTTTTTTTTTTTTGAGATGGAGTCTGTCTCTGTCTCCAGGCTAGAGTGCACTGGCATGATCTCGGCTCACTGCAACCTCTGCCTCCTGGGTTCAAGCAATTCCCTTACCTCAGCCTCCCAAGTAGCTGGGACTACAGGCACGCTCCACCACGCCCGGCTAATTTTTTGCATTTTAGTAAAGACAGGGTTTTATCATGTTGGCCAGGATGGTCTCAATCTCCTGACCTCGTGATCCACCTTCCTTGGCCTCCTAAAGTGCTGGGATTACATGCGTAAGCCATCATGCCCGGCTGGGCCTATGCTATTTCTATGGAGGATTGTCTACAGGGAAAATATTATCTTCAAAATATGATAATTTATGATAAAGATGAAATAATTTTCTCACTGAGCTGAGTTAGAACCTCTAAAATGATTCAATGAGAGTGGATCTACCTGTATTGATAAAGTCCAAGGGGAATGTGGTACTTGACGTAAATGGATCTAGATTTCAGTTGGGGAATGAGGGGGATATTGGGTGGTGATTTACATAGATTAAAATGTGACTATTACCCCCTGATAACCATCCTAAATGACTGAAACTGTTTAAATAGGCATACAAGAGAGCACTTTAAAAATGACTTCATTTTAATTTATCTTTTCTAAAGTTTTACATTTTAAACAATCTTCATCTTAAATGTTCTCACCATACACACACACACACACACACACACACACACACACACACACACACACGCACGGATGTGTAACTATGAAAGGTGATGGATGTGTTAACTAAATTGACTGTGGTAATAATTCCACACAGTATATATGTGCACCAGAGCATCACATTGTACATCCTAAATATATGTAATTTTGTCAAATGTACCTTAATAAGGCTGAAAAAAATAAAAACATTTCATAAACAGTAAACAAAGAGAAAAGTAGAAGATAAAAGCAAATAAAACTTCTCCTATTTCTTTGAGAGACAAATGGATGCACCTTCTGATAGAAACTTGTATATCTCATGAGCAATTCCTGAGTTAATTTTTGTAGGTATGTACTCACAGTTTCAAGGGTCAGAAATAAGGTTTTTGATCTTCCATTGTAAAATCAAGAGGTTGGGCTTCTTATCAGGCCTATGGTATTTTCAAGGAAACACTCTAAGAGGAGGAGAGTCAGGGGACTTTTCCCCCTTTATCTGACAAAGAAAATTTCATTATCTTTCCCTTACATAGAGTATCAAAAAATCCAGTGTAAGTTTATATCTAACTAGTATAAAAAAGATCAAGAACCAGAGCTTGATACACTATTATTTTATAAAAACAACAAAATATGCAACTTTTTATTTTTGCTATGCACATACTAAACCATACCATTTTAAGCATTTGTACCCAATGTGATTATTTTGTAATTAATTTTAATATCTAGTCCTAGTTGACTTATTTATTATCTTAGTAAACATCATAACATGCTCATACTTCCCTTGTTTTAGGCAAACAACAGCTCAATATTTTTATCCCTTTCAGTTTAATCAGTGGATAATGAGGGTAAACAGCAGGAAGATTTACATTTTATTTTTAACTGATTTTGCCACCATAGATTCTTAACTTCTAGGATAAAATTATTAATATTTTACTCTTGTGATTTCCTTCTTGTATATTTACACTTTGGCAGTAGTTTTCTTTCAAAATAAAATTTAATAGTTTCCCTTTCCCAACACATCTACTATTGTCTAAAGCCTAACAAAAATGTAATTTTGTAATGAGTTTTTAACTGTGGCAATGAACAATAAATTTAGACAAACAGAAGATGCTGTGCTGGGTGAACAACATGGCCCCTGAGATATCTCAATTTAAATGATCACTGTAGGAGACAGTTTGTGAAGTTGCCATTTACAGTGGAGTGCTGTATAGATGCAATCCAGCAAAATGTCAATTAGATTTTCAACTCATGTTAGTGAAATGTGAACTCTAACAATCCCTGCCCAGTTTCAATGTGAAATGATATTCCTTATGCAATGGTAAAGAGCGAGTTCATTGTGGCATCAAACCACACAGAGTCTGTCATGATACAATCAAATGTAACATTTACAAATTGTCTTGTGACTAAATAATTATTATAATTCTTTCTTTTGTCAGTTCTAAAGAAAAGTTACTTTAAAAAAATGTGTTGTTAAGAAAATGTTCCTTAAATACCTTGGTAATGTAATGTCTTGCTAAACATAGTAATAAAGCTCCTTACTGTTCTAGTCTTAGAGAACAGTTAATTTCCTATTATTTCAATCTTGGCCTTTTCAGACAAATTCTTGAAGCTCTTTTACATTTAGCGTACTTAGGGGAATTAAGTTTCATTCAGAAAACTCCAAGGAAGCATTGATTTAATGTTTTAAAATTGTAAATATATTGTACCTAATTTCTCACATTTATTAAAAATGCATCTGTGATCATTTCAACACAACATTTATTTTCACCCGAGTACAAACAATGTAATTTGAAAATCTGAAGTGAAAACCTCTATGTAAGTATGCCTTCAGGTAGTTGTACAGTCAAATAATTGTCTGCCTCTCCGTAGAGGAAAGGGTCTCACTGTTTTTTAATTGGTTTTAAAACACCAGAAGTTAATATTCCCCACTGGAGCAAAGCAGTAAGAGATGATTAGGAATTTGTTATTGCTTGAATACCACATTTTTCAACTGGCACATTGTTAGCATTTACTCATAAAACTAAAATAACTTGTTAAACCATTATTTAAGTCCCTATACCAAATTTTATCTCTAAGATTTAACACTATTTTTATTTCCTTATATCATTTTTATTTTATCCATAATCTAAAATTACAATATATAACTTTTAAAAAATACCTGTAAACCAATCCCTGAGATTATTCCCTGGAATAAATTTCTGTGAATTAGAATTACTTGGCCACAAATAATGAATATTTGAAGTCATTTAATAAAGTCATTAAATAATTTAAAGTCATATATGCTGCATTATAGTTTCTGGTAATATTTATAAACCCACCACTGACAATATTGAGTATGGTCTTCTTAATATTTTTCATTTTATTAATTATAAATTATAGTTTTTTAATAAATATATATTTCTTAGATTACTAGTGAAGTTAGCTATTTTTATAAGATTATCAGTTATTTGCAATTCTCATTCTTGGAGAATATGATTTAATATCAGCTCACCATTTCTCTTTCATGTTTTTTATTTTTTGATTGTGAACATAGTAACGTTAAATATTTTTCCTCAATATTTGTTGCAAAACTTTTTCCCAGTGCACAGTTTGCCTGTTGGTTGTTAGGTCCATTTTACCCATGTCCAACACATCTGACACCTGTTTTCAATATTTACCCCCTTGTGTAGAGCTTTCACTTTCTGTGGATGATTCTATCTGTGTTCTGTCTCTATAGTCCCCCACTACCCCCTCATCTTTTCCAATAAATGTCTCCTAACTTTCAGCTCAGGCAGATCTGGAGATAGCTCTGTTGGTTTGGATAGTTATTTTTCAACTGATGTATACTTAGAAGTTTGAAGAATTCTCTATCTCTTAGTTGTACTGTATGTATGGGTTGTGAGTGGTTTTACTTATTCTCATAGATCTGCGTAAAGGATGTATGAAGAGATTCAGTCGTAGGCAGCTGCCATTATGCAGAGAGAATCCTCCCTTACGATATTTGAAGCAAAGAATGGTGAAGCAGTAAAGACCACTGCTAAGAATTCAATAGCTTAAATCTTGTATCTTAGGAATATGTCTGATATCTTGACTAGTTTGATCTTTAAAACTACAATATTAATATCGGTTGTTGGGAAATTTGACTGCAATTGGTAAAAGCAGTTTATTGTTCAGAATTTTACACTTTTTCAGCCCTTGATCATATTATTCACTACTTTAAAAAATAATGTTTTAGTATATCCTCTGCCTTATTCCTTAACTTTCAAACAGTGTCCTTATTAAGGCTATATTTTTTTCTCTTATGTTAGATTGTATACCTGGTCTTTGTTAAAGAATGATTTTTGATATTTGTTTTGATTTTCATAACTATGTATGCAGTTATTATTTAGACATCTCTATCTTTACAGACTGCCCCTTTTAGTTTTAGTTAGACTTATTGTATGCAACATATTTCTAAAAATATCATTCTATATATTTTTAGGATAACTGTTACATGAAATTATCTTTTTGTTTTCCTCACTAATTAAAATGATTTAGCAGGGCACAAAATGTCGACATCCACAAAATTTCCTCTGAAAACTCTAAACATTGTTCCTGTATCTTTTCCACTTAATCTTGCAGTGGACAAACATGAACTGGTTGGAGTCTGCATTTGTAGATAGCTATTTCTTTTCTTTTTCTAACAAGTTATTTGCATATATTTTTACTTTATTATTATATTTCTCAAATTGTAGATGAGATAATTAGATTTGCCTGTCATTCTTCTTTCATTAATACTATCTGAAACAGCTTAACTCTACCATCCCCAACAGTCAGTGCAATTTTCTTTAGATCTGTCTTAGTATTTTTTCCTCTTTCAATGTTTTAATTTTTCTTCTAATCATCTTTAATTTTGAGTTTTAATGTTTACCTCATATTCTATATCTATTACATTTTCTTTTGTCATTTTTATCACTTTGCCTTTGAGGTACATATTCTAAAATTTTTATTCATTTATTTAGTAAATCTATTTTAATGCTCATTGCTAGCTTTCAAGCCCAAAAGTGTGAACTTTGATTTTGCTGTTTAACTTTTAGCCTCCTGGCAATTTTTCTTTCCATCACTCAGAAAATTTTAGCTTTTCTCATTTATCTGTATTATATCCTGCTGTCTTTCATTTCACCTTGTTTTCTTCCTGGAGATTTCTGCACACATTTCATGGAAAGTATCTCTACTTGTACTATTTTAAACGCATTTAACCATTTTTAGGTTTTTCCCCTCTCATTACAGAAATAAATTATTTTCAGAGTTTGTTATTCCTTCTCTGAGTCCACAAAATAATGTTCACTTCATCTTTGAATGTTGAAATAGCTTTATTCCGGACTCATTACCTTCCTTCCTATATATTCATACTTCAATAATGAGAAATTTATCAAATCCAAGGCAAAATTTGACAACAAAGTTGATTTGTAAACTTGTGTTGATTTAATGTTCATTTGAGTGCTGTGAAATGTTTTTCTCGGATATACAACTGAGAAAGTATCATTAGGCATCATTATCATTTAGGAATCATTAATGATACCTCCAGTAATTACTGTTAACTAGTAGAATTTATTAAATGCTCTGCTTAACTTAGATGGAAATGTCTCCTAAGCCATCTTCATGTTTTTTGAAGCTCTAAACCAAGGCACTATTTGAAAATTAGAGTCCTTGTAATGTACTTCTACCAGTCATATTACACCATGTATATCAGTTTACACAAGTAAACTGTGTCTTTCTAAGTATCGTCACCTGTATTTCCCTGCCTGCCTAAATCATCAGAATCAGCCTTTCCCTGGATTTATGTAGAATAAAATTTAACTTATTTTGAGGGAAGGACTATAGAGTCAGACTTCTGTGAAAAATCATGTCCTTTGTAGGGACATGGATGAAGCTGGCAACCATCATTCTCAGCAAACTATCGCAAGGACAAAAACCCAAACACCGCACGTTCTCACTCCTAAGTGGGAATTGAACAATGAGAACACATGGACACAGGAAGGGAAACATCACACACCTGGGACTGTTGTGGGGTGGGGGCCGGGCGGGAGGGATAGCATTAGGAGATAGACCTAATGTTAAATGACGAGTTAATGGGTGCAGCACACCAACATGGCACATGCATACATATGTAACTAACCTGCGTGTTGTGCACATGTACCCTAGAACTTAAAGTATAATAATAAAAAAAGAATAAAAAAAAGTTCTCATCATTATAGATAGAAAAGCCTACCTTGGGTCTTGAAAGAATCAGGAGGAAAGTAAAATCTCTTACTTTTTATTACCTTGATTTCTAAGTTAGAAGGTTTTCTCTGTTATAGAGGGTGTGTAGCACATTAACTGAGTCTCTCATGGAAGTCTCATTTTTTTTTAATTGGTAGTGGACATTTAAGATTCTGATTACTGGCTGATGTTCACTTGAAGTCTCAGTGCTATTATGCATAACTTTTCAATGCTTCCCCTTTCATCTTTGTGGTACTGTATGTGATATTAAACTGGTAAGTTTATTAAGTTTATTATTAGATATAATATTAAACCATAAAGTTTTAGCATGCAAATGTAAGAATGGGGTTTTCTTTTTTTATCAGAAAGATTGAAGATTATATTTAAACAGTGAATAGATGTTATATAACACTTGTTCAGATTTTGTAGTCCATAGTTTTGTATATGATAATAGTTGTACTAAATCAATCATAGTCTTCTAAAGGGAAAATATTGAGAGTGAAAGAGTATACAACTGAGATAAACCTATATTTAAAATTCTGTATAACAGATTTTTAAGGTGCAATTTAATATAACCTCTCTAAACCACAGTTTTAATAACTGTAAAATTAGAAAATACTATTTCACAAAATGATATTGAGATTGAAATGAGACAAAATTTTTAACAGCTTTTATTGAGGTATATTTGATATATAACAAACTGTACATACTTAAGGTGTACAATCTGATAAATTTCCATATATGTATATACCTGTGAAACCATCACTACAGCCATAGTAGTGAATATGGATGACAACAGTGTTTTCCTTGTTCTCTTCCATAGTCTTTCCATTGATGTGCCTGTTCACTGTACCCTGGGTTACCACTGATTTGCTTCCTGTAAACCATAAATTAGTCTGCATTTTCCAGTACCTTATAGAAATAAAATCAGGGAGCACGCACACGCTTTTGCCTGACTTCTTTGATTCAGCGTAATTATTTGAGACTCGCCCATATTGTAGCGTGTATTCATGGTTCATTTATTCATATTGCTAAGCAGTATTCCACTGTTTAGATATACTACATTTTATTTATTCATACCCTTGATGACGGACATTGAGCTCTTTCTAATATTTGGTGATTACAGGAAGAGCTGAGAACATTCATGTAAAAGTGTTTGTATGAATATATAATATCTTCTTCCCAGGAAAAGGAGAAGATATAAGTTTAACATTTTAAGAAATAAGACAATCTGTAATGAAGTTTACAGGACATTATAAAGTGCAACCTAAATGCATGTTATTATTATGTTTAGAAATATACTCATTTTGTATGGCCACTGTGGTATTACTAAAAATATCCTATTGAAATTTAGTAAGAAGTAAATTATTAAATCAAGTTGAGCATATTATGGTACATGATTCTCAAGAATCTTGGACAAGTCTTTAAAGACCTAGACTTAAAAATGGATTAGAGTCTCTACTAAGAAGAAAAAATTTATAAAATAAGTGTCAACAAATAGTGAGAAAACATGTGGAAATATATGCAGTGACTAAACTTAACTAGGTGGTATCATATATAAAGAAGATAATTTTGTTTATCATAAGAAGATACAAACTTTATTATTTAAACTATTCCTCAGTTTCCCCAAGACACCACTTATATTGTCTCAGCTAATATATTTCTGAGACAGAAAATTCAGTATTAGTATATTTTCTATCTAACAGACAGAAATAAAGAAATTGAGATTCATAGAAAAAATGGAATTAAATAAAAAAGATTTAAATGTAAAGATAAAAACATTATGGAGTCACACTAAGGCTTGAGAGTGGTCTTTAGTCTATGTGTGCAATTAACTTTTTGCTCAGTTTCTTATTTTCTTCTTAGGTTAGGTCCCAGCAGATAAGATATAAGAAACATAAGTATGTTATGATTTCCAAGAAGGAAATTACGAAGTGAGAGGTAAGGAGGGGGAAGAAAACACAGTGGGGGAAACATCAAATCATTTGTAGCGTGGGCTAATTCAGAATAGCAGCAATAGCCTTGGATGCCTAAGCATCTTGCTTGCTTTAAAATTATTTGAAGTAATGACAATGATACCCTAAGAATCTGTTAAAATTTTGTGTTAAAAAGCTAAAGTAGTTTGGTCCATCCTTTAATCATTTACTTTATAAAATTTAAAATATTCTGAATAGAAAAAGACTTACATTCTCTAAAAAAATTATAGTTGGCATCTTAATTTTTGGTAATACCACGTAAAAGAGAGTTTAGGCTAACATTTCAGAGCATGTAGCATGACAGACAAACACAGATTAGTTGGATAGGAAGAAACAAAGAACAACAATAATAAATAAACAGCAAAAAGTTATTATAGTCAACCCTTGCATTTCAGAGATTAATTGAAGACCAGAATGGTGGGTTGATTTCTCTAAAACCATTTAGTGTGTTAATAGCAGAGATAATATATCAGCAAAATGTTTCATGCTTATTCACTCATGCAGTCATAGTTTGAGATCATCATCACCTTTACGTCATCTACCTCCTCTAGTAGCTCATGGTCTTGATAGAGATAAGAAACTTGTTAACTAAAGATGATAGCCCAGCTCGTCATCAGTAGAGGTGGTTTACTCAGCACAATCCAAAATTACTCGTGGAAGACTCAATTCTGATGAAGCTCAGTGCCTGCTCGCAATCCTGGCTGTGCCTACAGTGTTTTACTCAACAAGTTCTGGATAATCTCTCCTGAGCTTGTCAATGATACCAGAGGTGGAATGGATGGTGGTACAGAGCAAGGCTATGGAATCTGAAGGTGGTGGTCATCACCCTCACTTGTTGTGTGAGTTTTATCATTATTATTTTAAAATTTAACTGTATTACAGATTTCTCAAATGTAAAACTTCTTCCCAGAGTTGTTTTCATGATACTATGTGGTCTTGTAAATTGTCTAGTAGAGGAAGCACAACAGAGTAAATTCATCGTAAATGTTAATTCTCTTTTTTGTCTGTTTCAGTCTAACCTTGGCTCTCACATCAAATTCCTATACTGAGCAAATCCTTGAGTTCTCTCCCCATCCTTTAAACTGTCCTGTTGATTTGAAAGCACCTACGTTTCTTTGGATGTGCTTGGTCATTATCTTTGATGCTCTTGCGTCATTTCAATGAAAAAAAACTCAATTATTTAAAAATATTTCTATTCTTCACACTTAACATGCTATCATCTTTAAATAAGTCAATTGCATGTCTAATACATTATCATGGTGTGTGGTATTCAGGCCGTTGAATATGTTTTAGTGGCCTAGGAATAAAAAAAGCTGACTTCTGACTGAAAAGTATGATTAAGGCTAATTCTTCTGCATTAAAAGTGTTAACTTTGGTATAGAAAGTTTTTCCTTTTAAAATGTCAGAAACTTTCTATCATTATTTTAATTCTTGTTCTATTTTATACCTAGTGTTTTAAAATACGATTTTTAAAATTTTGTAAATTTATGAACATTAAAAAATGTTATATTTTCATATTATTGCAACTAGTCATAATATTCTATTTCTTCCAGGTTATTTAGATGACATCACATGTTACAAGCATTGGAAACAGTAAAAGAGTGTTACCTTTCCACATTAAGAGCATAGGTCACATTACTTAATAAAAGTTGAATAATATGTATTGTCTTTCACTTGTTGCTGCTCTATTTGAAAGAGTCCTTAGAATTCCATATCATAGTGTGAAAATTTTCCACATGCTCTATTTTGCAAATAGAAAAAATATTTTAACCTCCCAAACACCAACAACTTAATAAGAAATTTATGAAGTAGAAGTTTGTCTGTCATTTGTCATTTACATTAAGGAAAAAAATGCACGCTGTTACAAACTAATGAAACAGCAGTATTAAACTGCAACTATTTCAAACCCAAAATAACTTATTCAAGTATTTTAACTTATTCACTTGCGATAACAAAATATTGCACCCCCAGCCTCATATTTTTATTCTATATATACTACTATAGCAATTTACTTTGTTAATAAACTTGAATGAAGATTAATATCCCAGTTTTAAGATTTGCATTGGAACACTTTAAAAGAAGCACTTTCTAGTCTTGATCAAATAATACACCTTTTCTCTGGGATTTTCAATTTTGTTCCTACTTTGCAATAATTAACCACTCAAATATTTGCTATAGCTATGTTCAGCTATCAAGGAAACAGTTTATCCTACATTAATAGAGAAGCGATACATATGAAGTGTAGCAGACATTTCAGAAATTCATGGAGTTTAAAGCCATTAAGGTGTGGAGCCACTTAGTGGCCTTAACTATATGAAATGCTTTTTGTTACTCATCTGTTTATGTAGCACAAGCTATCCCTTCTAAGATGAGCCTTACCAAGGCCTTTTGAATCAACCATAGCTCATTAGTAAATAAACTATCCAAAACTGATCATTGGAAGATTACTTTTTTTTGAAGATGCAAATACAAAATGTTATTTATATAATCGTGTGATGGAAAGATCAACTGGTTATTCATTAGTCATTTTAAAATACTGCTATGTAGGATAGGAATATCAGAGTAGTATCTAAAATCAGGAAAATCATTGAGGTATCTACTGATTATAAATGAAATTATAGTCATATGATACTGTAAATGAATTGGGTTAGCTTTTATATTTTGTGAAAATATAAATATTTTTGTAAATAATAGATTAGATGAATCAAACTAAGGACTTAATATAACTGATTTTCTTTGATCAAGTCACATTGAAATATTGTTCTTTAATAAACTTAACCAAAATTTACCTTTTAGAGTTGTTTTTGAGCAGTATTAAACCAGATATTTATAAAAAGAATAATTAAAAGTAGTTGTGTAAATGAAATAATTTCAAAAAAAGCAAATTTTTGAACAAAATCACAAATCGAAATAGGCCATCATGATCTCTCTCTAGGTTGTTGACAGCAAAGCATTATTAATCTACATCCTAAAAGCTTGATTCACATGTTTCAACAAGATTGAAAGATGACCTGGTCAGCATGGCATATGACCTTTACAAAACATCTGTGATTAAAACAAATGTGACAATTCTGGTGACGATAAAACAAGGAAACATTTGTCTTATAAAGGGCATAAGACCATAATAATAAGTAATATTGATCAAGAATCCACATGCCAATAAATTAGATTAAATTTTATTTAATTCTTAATAACTGTATGTGGTAGGTTCTAATACTATCTCCTTTTTCTGAACCCAAACTCTCTACACATATTTTAAATAAAAAAAATCATTAGACTCTGTATGAATATTGGTGAGTTCAACACCTAAGTTTATATGCGTATATATATAAATATAAAATATATATAAGATTTTATATATTTGTAAGTACATATATGTATAGATACCTAATAGTACTAGGTATATGTGCAAAGCGGTAAAAAAAAAATGACTTCTCTGGTAATGAAATATGTGGATATGTGGTAAAATGAGTTTCCTTCTTTCTAAAGCTGTTAACTTATACACATAATACCTAGCTGCTTTTAAAATAGAGTTTCTTGATTCTTTTATCAATGACTCCTCCTCCTTGGCAATATCTTTTCAAAGAACTGTTTGCAAAAGGTCCTTCCTAAAAGTCTTTACTTAGTTAATGAAAATATACTGGGAGATAGAGGGTGGTGGGCAGGGTCTGTGGTTTATAGTTACTGTTGAAATTGTAGTCCCTTGCTTTTTCTAAGACTCTACCTTATAAGGTTTTAAAATAAGTTTCATTTTTAAAAAATGCTTTCTCATTTTTGTTTGCAAAATTAACTGGCAGAACTATTTGGAGTTCCTTTGGTTGTTACATATCTATACTCTCATAATAATTTGAACTTATTTGTTTATTGAAATACTTGTTTAGAAATATTTTTCAGACACAATATTGATTTGTGAGGCAAAGGAATATTAAAAGTTACTCTTTTTTTTTTTTTTTTAGATGGAGTCTTGCTCTGTTGCCCAGGCTGGAGCACAATCTCAGTTCACTGAAACCTCCGCCTCCTGGATTCAAGCAATTCTCCTGCCTCAGCCTCCTGAGTAGCTGGGATTGCAGGTATGCACCACCACACCCGCCTAATGTTTGTATTTTTAGTAGAGATGAGGTTTCACCGTGTTGACCAGGCTGGTCTCAAATGCCTGACCTAGTGATCTGCTCGCCTCGGCCTCCCAAAAGTGCTGGGATTACAGGTATGAGCCACCGTCCCCGGCCAAAACTTACTCTTTTTTATACTATAGGATTATGATTTCATTTTCTAATGCTTATCCAGGACAAAGTTGTTCAGTGCTGACTGTGTGTCAGGTACTCAGCTAGGTGACTATACTTTAAATTTGGACTCAAAAAATCTCTGCCTTAATGAACCCTAAGCGTGGTAAGAGAAAAAGACAGGTAATTCAAACTTCCTTGAGAATTCTGAAAATGTCTTCTAGAAGTTGAGATCTATCAGGCAGGTCTTAAATAATTAATAGAATATTTTTGGTAGGTGTGGAGCAGAGAAGGGGAAGCGGGAATAGGATAGATAAGGGTGTGGAGGCTTAAGAGTGCATTTGGTAAAGACGTGTGTGCGTGTGTGTGTGTGTGAATAAGGTATAGAATGTGATCTTACATTCAGTGCCCTGAAATCTGACCCTTTGATTCCTATCAAACCGATCTATATGAAACATATAGATATCTTAGCTTTTTCTTTTTAATCTCTTCACTAAATCTGTGGTTCTTAGTCTACTCAGTGGGGACTTTTCAGAAGAAGTGTTTCCAAGAAAACCTGGTACAGGAGTGGGGACATGGAAAAAAAGAGAAAATAAGGAGGCTATATTTGTCAGCGTTATCCACAGGATTGTATGCAGTCACATAAAGTAATTCCAAAATCTGCAGGCTAGGCTGGCAGGCTGGAGACCGGGGGAAGAGCTGATGCTGAAGCTTGAGTGTGAAGGGAGTCTGGCAGAATTCCCTCTTTCCAGGAGACCTCAGTCTTTTTCTCTTAAGGCCTACAACTGATTAAATGAGGCCTATCTATTTTATGAAAGATAACCTCAGAGTCACTGATTTTAACATTCATCACATCTAAAACACTGCTTTCACAGCAACATCCATACTTGTCTTTGACCAAATATCTGGGAAGAGTGGTCTAGTCAAGTTCACACGTGAAATTAGCCATCACAGAGGTCGAACAAGAGCAGGATGTCATGTAAATCCCCATGGCAAATAACTTTGGCTCAATCCCACTTGGTAGTTTTGAACACAGTCTAGGTCACATTGTAAGAGTTATCTCAATCAGGAGACAGTCAGCTGGTAAATATATCTATTCTTTCTCTCCTGCAATCATTGGTTAATGGTGGCTCCTAGGGGACATAATTCTCAGGTATTTGTGTGAGCAGACAGAGCTGTCTCAGCAGCCTAAGGACACTTCTCTAACAAAGAAGTATATAGGTGCTGGCTGTTGGAATGACAGTATGCCTATAGCCATTATAGCCAATATGTCCCTAGAAGTAAAGAGATCAATGGGGTAGGTATGGATCATCAAAAACATTTGCATGTGCATAAGAGGCTGGGGAAAAGAGCTGAGGTTTACAAAGTATACCAGTACTAAATCATGAAGGTTTACAAAGTATACCAGTACTAAATCATGAAGGTTTACAAAGTATACCAGTACTAAATCATGAAGGTTTACAAAGTATACCAGTACTAAATCATGAAGGTTTTTTCGGGACATATCCAAGAATGTAGATTTCATATAAAGATAAGTTAGCATCAGGTTTACCAGTACCATCCTGCAGGGGAATTATCATTTAAATAATTATATATTATCCCCAGGGTTTCTCATTAAGGAGGTCTAAAATTAGGCCCTGGAATCTGGTTTAGGATCAATGTATCAGGCTTTGGAGAGCCCCAAAAGATTTGCACAGGTGCAGAACATGATCATGTTTACACTTTACAAAGAGCACACTTGTAATAGCTGGAAGGAAGGCAAAACTGAAAGAAATGATCCTTCTTTACTGCGTTAAACGATCAGGTGTGAAGACATTATGTGAGAGGAAAGTTAAGATTATATTTAGATGGCAAATTTGACAAAAGTATTTAAAGAGGGACAAGGAAGAAAATGGTTAGTGAAAATTTCCAAGTCTCTGGCTTGGGAGATGGAAGTGAAAGTAGTGCCAAACCCTGAAATATAGAACACGGAAGCAGGATTTGCTGGGGAACACAGTGAATGAGGTTTGAAGGGTCAGTGAGACATCAAGGAAGAAACAGCTTTGAGTCAGAAAGAAAGTGTAAGAATAGAAGGCTCTAGACTAAAGATAAAACTTTCTGAGTTATTAGTATAGCTCAGATATTGACAAACTATGACCAGCAGGCCAAATCCATCCTTGCAAGTGTTATGTAAATAAGCTTTTTTGGAACACAGCCACACTCATTTGTTTACATATGATCTGTGGGAGCATTTTCTAAATGACAGAGCAGAGTACAAATACCTTTGTTATGACAGAGACTATAAGGCCCACACAGCAAACAGTACTTCCTATCTGGCTCTCTTTATAAAATGTTTGCAAACTCCTGGTGTAGATGGGTAGTGATTGAACTTTTAGGAATGTATAGATTGCCAGGGGGATGTGTATATTGTAAAGACAATTGAAAACATTTAAAGACAAAGGAGAAGGAAAAGAACAAAGGAGGTAGACTGCAAACAACAGAATTACTGAAGAGAGGAAAAAAAGCTATAATTTTAAATCTATATTTATCTAGTACTGTTCCATCTATATTTTTCCTAGTCACCAAATAAGCCAGATGCTGATAGAAAAACAGGCAGAGTACTTGCTCTCATTTTCTTTCCTTTCTCATCTCTGTCTTGTCTTTTCTTCAACATGTGTATTAGCCTATTTTCACATTGCTATAAAGAACTGCCCAAGACTGGGTAATTTGCAAAGAGAAGAGATTTAATTGACGCACAGTTCTGCAGGGCCAGGGAGGCCTCAGGAAACTTAACAATCATGGCAGAAGGGGAAGCAAACTTGTCTTACATGGCAGCAGGAGCAAGAGAGCGTGCAAAGGAGGAACGGTCAAGCCCTTATAAAACCATCATATATCCTGAGAACTCCCTCACTGTTACAATAAGAGCATAGGGGAAACTGCTCCCATGATCCAACCATCTCCCACAAGTTTCTTCCCTTGACACGTGGGGATTATGGGGATTACAATTCAAAATGAGAATTGTAATCTGGGTGGGGACACAGAACAAAACCATATCAACATGCTTTCAAGAAAGAAGATATTTGGTTTAGGAAATAACAAAGATCATTCTGGAAGTCATGTTTAATTTAAAGATGAAGACATGTTCTGAGAAATGTGTTGTTAGGTGATGTCATCATTGTGCGAACATCATAGAGTATGCTTATACAAACTTAGATGGTATAGCCTACTACACGCCTAAGCTATAGGGTATGGCCTGTTGCTCCTAGGCTACAGATCAGTACGGCATGTTACTGTTCTGAAAAGTGTAAGGAAATAGTAACACCATATTAAGTATTTGTGTATCTACACATATCTAAGTATAGAAAAGATGGTTAAAGATTTAAAAAACGGTACATCTGTATAGGACACTTAGCATGTATGGAGCTTATAGGACTGGAAGTTGCTATGAGTGAGTCAGTGAGTGAGTGGTGAGTGAATGTGAAGGCCTAGGACACTACTGTACACTACTGTAGATGTTATAAACACTATATTTAGGCTACACTAAATTTATAAAAAATAGTTTTCTTCCTTCAATAATACATTAATATTACTATAACTTTTTTACTTTAAAGCTTTTAATGTTTTTAAATTTTTTAATTCTTTTGTGATAGCACTTAAAACAAATATGCATTGTACAGCTATACAAAAATATTTTCTTCATAAACTTATGCTGAAGGCTTTACTTTCAAAGTTTTTCATTTTTCTGTTTACTTTGAAAACTGTTTTTGTTAAACGCTGAGATAAAAATGCATCCATTAGCGTAGGCCTACACACATTCATGGGGTGTTCCATCTCCAGGTCTTGTTGCTCTAGAATGTCTTCAGGGACAATGGCATGTATGGAGCTGTCATTTCCTGCGATAATAATGCCTTCTTCTGGATACCTTCTGGAGGACTGGCCTGAGGATGTTTTACAGTTAATAATTTCTATATAAGTAGGAGTACACTCAAAATGATGGAGTATAATATAGTAAATACACAAACCAGTAACATAGTTATTATCAAGTATTATGTACTGTACATAATTGTATGTATGAAGACTTCTAAATGACAGTCAGCACATTAGGTTTGATTAACCAGGATTGCCACAAATACAAGAGTAATGTGTTGCATAACTGTCACAGCTACAATGCCACCAGGTGATCGGAATTTTTCAGCTCCATTAAAATCTTATGAGACCATCACTGAATATGTGGTCCGTCATTGACCAAAACATCATGATGCAGCTCATGACTATAGTTCTGTCTCAGAAGATCCAGGAAATAGTAGGTTCCTCCGAGGCCGGAAGCCCATTCAGTATCTTAGCCAATGGCATGTCTTATAGGTATGTGTCAATCACACGTCCTGTTTTGCTTTCACATTTCTTTTATCCTCCCCTAGTTCCCTTTTATTTGGTTCATATGGGTTTTTTTTTTTTTCCAGATAGATACAAATAGTGCAGCCTTTTGCCGAAGAAATGATATCTTGTTTCCTTTGCCAGGAGCTGTGTGCTTGCAACAGTAATATAAATGTGCAGCCCACATTAGGTACTCAAACAACTTGTCATTTGTTTGAAAAGGAGCCCTTTATTTGACTAGAAGAAACAGGAGCCAAATGAGCTTGATTCCTTCTCATGCCAGCCAGCAATGCAATTACAGGAATGGGGACTGGGGAAGGACAAATTGATCAGTCACCCATGCACATAGGTGCAGGGGCTATGTACTTGAAGTGGTTGGTTGTGGTTGGGACCCTGCCTTGGTCTGTTAATTACATATTGCAAAATGGGATCTCATAAGTGACTGTAATTCATTGGTAATTTCTTGAGAAATTACAATTTTTGACAGGAAAGTTTTTTTTCTTTGTGTCCCCTGATAAATTCTCCTGGTTTGTAAAATCTTTAGAATTCATAATCCTTAGGTAATGCACTTTGTAGAAACAGCAGGAATGTGAGGATTTGCAAACCTCCTTTTCTTCACTGATGAGTATAAAAATGCTGCAGTTTACTTCAACTGTTGAAAGTGGAACTTTCTCCATATTTAAGCAGTGGTGTTCTCTTTTCATGCTGAAAAGCAATGAATTGTCAAAAATGGACATCTTGCCATGAATAAAGATGACAACTGAGTAGGTGACTCAGAAATGTGCCTGACAAGAGAGAAATGGTTTGAATATAGAGTGTATATATACTCTTCTACTAAAAACTTGGGAGACCAAACAAGTCTGATTGCAATGGGTAACCAACAAACAGGTACAGGGGCAGTAGATCTCAGTATGTTCTCATGATTCCCAAATTGCCAACCAAACCTCTTCTGTGTGCTCTTGTTTGTGAGACTAAGATTCAGCTCTCTTCAGACTAAGATCACAGCTTGGGTGTGATTTGATCCTGCTTCAAGCTGGCAAAGCCTCAGAAGCCCTCTACCATCAGAATCCTGCTCAGAGGAAATAGCTGGAGACCATTCTTGAAGAACTGTCATCTTTAGTACTGGAATTAAGTGTCCTGTTTGGGTCTCACTGACATGCTATTCCAGAGACACTCACTGGCTTCTGAAAGCTCATTCTGGGATCTGGGAATGAAACAGAATTCAGGGAGGAAGCCTTAGAAGAGCCTTATGTTCAGAGAGACCCTGTGTCCTCTTAAGGGAGCATCATTGGTAAACTTCCTACTTCTCAATTTCCTTATCTGTAAAAGTTGTTGAATGAGTTAAATAGTATGATATGGAATTCATAAAGAACTCAAGATTACCTGCTATTACTGTGTAATATATTGTTTATATTTACAGCACATACAAAGTACCAGTTTTTCCATTGTTAATGTGGATGTGAATGTTGCCCTAAAATAATCTTGTCTTTTGATTTGTTATTCTTCATCTATCCTTGCTTCTATCATTATTAAAAATTTATCTATGAATAAATTTAGAGAGGAAATGGAAGTCATTATAAAGTTGCATGTTCAAGCACGGCAATGATTCGTAATTGTCCCAACAGTTAAGTGTACATCAGTACAGCCCTAACCACACTCACTAAGGCTTTTACACTGATTACAGAGATTGTGGGTGCTGAGTTTTCCCCATGTGTTGCCATAAATCTGCTTTTCCTTTCACTTAAGAAGGTACTTAGAAACACAAGAGTGTAAGAATGATGTTATCAAAGACTAACATTATAATCCTTCTATTCTATGGAAAAAACAATTATTTGTGAATTTCTGCCATACTTCACAGCTGGCGATGGGTCATGAGAGCTCACTGCCAGACGCCAAGAGCCTGGCTAAGACAAATGAGAGAAGAAAACTTCTAAGCACGGTGATGGCAGAAGTGTGTGCCAATTTGAGTAATGCTTTTTCTCACATACTTTCTATTTTTCCTCTGTCTGGGAACTAGTGCAAGAAATCTAAAAGAGGAAAACCAGCCTGTTTTCTCTCACTTATTTGAATTTACTAGTGTTTGCAATAGTGTTAATTTCTGGCTTTAACTGAAGAATGTTTTTTTGCAGTTTATTCTCTCATTTTTCATTCATTTATCCTTTTATCAACCAGTATTTCCCTTCCTTTTTTGAGAGGGTTCCTGCATTAAATGCTGCAGCTTACTAGGACAATTCCTGTTCCCCCCAGGAGTTTACATTCTTCATGTAATTCATAAAAACTTGTCCATCCACCTTAATTTAAACAAATAGTTCTCAGTGGTGCTAGTGGTGGGAGTAAAGGGCTGCTCCCAGAAGACATTCTTTGGCAATGTCTGAAGACATTTGTAATGACTGAGGGAGGGAGTGCTCCTGGCATGCCAAGTAGTGAAGAAATGCTGCTAGATAATTCTAGAATGCTCAGGAGAGCTCTGGGGTAACGTAAAGTATTATCCGGTCCCAAATGAGAAACCCTGTTCTAAACTTTTGCTTGGAACAAGTTTTATCCTTTACTTAGCACAATTCTTTATGTATAATAAAGGGATTTGCCACTTGTTCATCAACTAAAAGAGGTTCCTAACATATTTTATAGCATTTCATAAATATTTGTCAAAAGGATTAATATTAAACTGGATTAAATTTAATAATGCAATATAAAGAATAATGATGTGGGGAGTAAAACTGGGTCTGTATTTTTACTCCATAATTTAATGTTCTGTAGCTTTGATCAAGTTGTATACTAATATAGGATATTAGTACTCACTACTGTACTTAGATTTGAATAAAGTATAATGTATGTACATAATAGTTTCTTATATGATGTATTTCTTGTCTCTTCTACGGCTAAATCCATTTTGAAAGGGTGAATGGATAACTTTTTGAATTGATAATCCTATATTAGATATCCCACAACGTATTATTTTTGGGGTTATGTGTTCAATTTTCTTTAGAATGACATCTTTTGTGAAATCAAGGTTATTCTGCCTACTGTTTTCTTTTTATTGTTGTTGCAGCCTTACAGTAGAAGGAGTGAGTTTGTATTTGGGTCTATATGCTGTTACCTGTTCTTTGTGTGCAAAAATGTAAGCACTAAATGTTCCAGATGGTACCACAGATGCAGAAAGGTTAAGAGATGTAATCAATTGTCATACCAGGGAGGCACTCAATGTGGTTTTGAGTTTATTGTGAGTCCCTACTGACTGAATTAGAATGTCATGTTCTGTGACGGGATCATAATAGATTAGATGCTTGCTCCTCTCTGCTCTTCTGGATAAATAAAGGGGAAATGCAGTTGTGAATTGCCTCACTCAGTGGCGAGGATTCCATGATTGTCTGAGAATGTCCACTCGCACTCTCTACCTCTCAGTTCAAAGTATTTAAGCTCAAGCCTTGACATCTCCTCTGTTGTGGAGCAAATGAATCATAGTAGTATGAGAATATCCCAGAAAATGTTGTGCCTACTAAAGGAATAAAGGGAGGGAGAAGACTCCAATGCTACAGGGGGAAGCTCAATGTTTGCCTTTAGTTTGAGCAAGAAAGCAGCACCTGAGGTGGTATTGCTTGGTAATAGAGTAACAGAAGGTTGTTTGATAATAGGGTTCTTTCTTACATAAATTGGGAAACCCGTAATTTGAGAAAAGTTCTCTTCCTCCGGTAAGAAAGAGTAGCATGTATTATGCAGGTAGGCTAATGCTCATACACCACCTAAAGCCCTTCGAAAATTATTAGTATTTTTAGCAAGTCTAGGTCATGTAATTTCCTTCTTGATGGCAATACTTTTGACCATGTAATATAAGTAACCCATCATAATATGGTGGCTCAGCCATTCAGTGGTATTAGAAAACGTGAAAAAAAAAATAAGGTTTCCAATAGGAGGCTATGAGAAACTATTGCTCTTAAAACTATATGAGAGGTAATTTCATTTTAAAATTGTATCTTTCATTTTATAAAGTATCTCACTTGACATCACACTCTGGCATCTGAAAGTAAAAGTTCTGGACTAGACAATCTTCAGTCTTCAATATGGCACTCATGAGCTTCTATGGCAATTAGTGCTCAGCTGTGGTACTCAAATGTGATGAACTCATGCAAGTTTTAAGCCTAACCTAACATTAAGTAACAGTTAGTGAAAAAAAATTAGTATACCAATGTTTTAACTGATATTGCTTGTTGATAATGGGTTAAATCTTCCAAGATAAATTAAATAAAATATGTAAACTAGGTTGAAAAAGTATAATTATTGCTCTAACAGGTAGGTACAAATGTTTTTTGTCACAATTCCCGTAGAATACCATTGCTAATAAAATTTTAAGATGTTTTAAAGTGAAAAGCTTGAGGACTTAAAATTGTCTTCCTTGGTTTTCTTGAGTTTATGGAATATATTTTCATCTTTTAGTCATAGTTATGTTTTTAAATAACTCTGTTCTGCTCCATGAGAGACATTTCAGTTCTAAATGTATGCAACCAAATTATCTCTGAACCCTCATTTTCAAACTGCAGTTCAATCAGTATACTCCAGATGGCACACAATGATGATCAAATTATGCATATGTTACATTGAGGGATTGAATATGCAAACAGAAGGAGCTGGTTAACTACGGCTTTCAAATTGCCTTCAGGACTTTACCATTCTCCTACATAATGAAAAAAAACACAGATAATGTTTTGCTTGGTTTTAGGATTTGACACTTTTTAATATAGCAAAATGAAATGCAATTATAATCCATAATAGTCCACATGAAATTTTGCCAATGTCAATATAAAAGCAAATGTTTTCCTACAGAAGTCTGTACATAGTAATGCATTTTTACCTTAGTTTATTACCAATGATTTTCAGATTATACTATCCTCATGAGAAAGTAAGTCGGGGGAAACCAATCTAAATTAATATATTTCACAAATTAATAGGCATTTTTCTTTTTCTAAATACATGATTGGGGAGTCACGTCATCCTCTTTTTGCATAATTTTAGAAAAACATAATATTTGGGGGAATATATAGGGGAAAAAAGCAAACAAAAGTCACTTATCTCTAATTACCAAAGGATTATCAACTGTTCTATTACTGAATAATTTTTTCACAGCTCTATTGTTCTTTAGTGTGAAAGCTACTAATCAGATCCTTACAGTCAGATACAAAAATAGTTAAAGAAATCATATATTTTTTCAATTTACTGTTACACTATTGTCTTCAGTAAACCTACTCAATTCCAAGGACAATGGTTTGTTTCAGTAAAAAGCATGTCCATATAGTTTGGATAACCATTAGTATAGTTTTTAAAGATTAAAGAAAATCAATGGTAGCTTAGTACTAAAGTCTTCTATATGACGACTTTGGATTTTATATATATAAAATTTTCTGCCTATCAACATTCAACCAAAAATTATTACTTTAAAATGTTTAGTCCTACTGCCTAAGATGGGTTTGTGTAAACTGGTGATACTTTTTTTTTTTATAGACTTTCTTAGTTGGGAAGTCCTTTATTCATATGGGAAACTGGGTTTTTATTTTTTTTCTATAGTTTCATGCATTGATTTTGATGAACATTTCATGCTAAAGGAGTTTCTAAAGTAGAACAATTCAGAATCCATGAATAGTAATTGAGCCCTTTAGTTCTGCTCTAAACTTAAAACCATTATTCTCCATTTAAAGCAGACAAATCATGTTGCTCTACAGAACACTGCTCTGTCATTTTAGTTTTTTGTGGTGGTTGTTTCCAGTGAGCTGGGCTGGAATATTAAACTCTCTTTGCTTCCTATGCTCTCTCTTGCTGTGCTGGGCACATTTAGGGTTCTGTTTGAAATAGGCAAAAAGCAATTCTGTTGTTCATAAAGAATAACTTGTAAGCTGGTGTGGGTTCCTGTACATTCTTTATTTAGTGAAGAGAATGTGCTATTTGTCAGGCTTTGAATCTCTGGCAACTGGCTTGCTGAAACTCAGTTTAAATGTACTGTCGTGCATAAACAATCAAATGTAAAACATAATAAAATTCTCTTCTGACTGTATTTCTCACAACAAACACATCGGCTCAATACACTATTCTATGTATGGGTAGTTGTATCTGTCAGAAACTAATTTTAAGTGTCATGTAAAAACAAAAAGATAATAGAATAGTGAAATATTGCTTTTAATATTAAAAATGAACTCTAGCATTTGAGAAAAAGTAGCTATTATGGTGCTTGCAGAGTGATGTAGCCAAAAGCCCCTGTGCTGAGAGCTCGTTTCATAGCAGGGCGATCATTTTCTAATATGAACTGTCCTGTTACAAAAGTTGTCTGAATACATGTTTGGATTCTCATGATCTGTTTTGTTTGCCTGGTAGAGAAAAAGTTTGAGTAGCTCTTAAAAAACAAAACATGCTTCTTTAACCAAAAAAATAAAATTCGTACTGGAAGCACTATGGTAGAGTGATTTTTTAGGCCTGTCTTCATAAAAAATGCATTCATCTAAATTTTGTGCACTACATTTGTGTTCTCTCACATTTAAGATGCCATATATTAATATTCACTAAATATTATATGTGTTTGATGATCTTTTGATTCTTATCTAAAGATGGCTCTATGTGAATTTTCATTCTATATCATGGTCTTTCTTGGATACTATGTAGGAAATGCTAGTTCTGAATACTACAAATATGAAAGCTCTTCTCTTTTCTCCTTTCTTTCCTCCTTCCTTCTTTCTCCCTCTCTCCCTCTCTTTGCCTCTCTCTTTTTTTCTCTTCGCTTTTTCCTTCCCTCTCTCCCTGCCTCTCTCCTCCCCTCCCTCCTTTCCTTGCTTCTCTCTCTTTCCTCTTTCCTTCCTTCCTTCCCTCTCTTCCTCCTTCCTTCCTTCCTTCCCTCCCTCTCTCCCTCCTTCCCTCCTTCCCTCTCTCCCTCCCTCATTCCCTCCTTCCCTCCTTCTTTCCTTCCTTCCTTCCCTGCTTCTTTCTTCCCATCCTTCCTGACTTTTCTTAGAAATATAAAATGTAATAAAATAATATTTCTGACAACAGATCAAATTCTGTTATAAAAACTACATAAGCAAACATTTTTAGGTTACCATCAGGAGCCAAAGACTAATCATGTATTTCTCATACAACATGGTGCTAATACCAAGCCACCTGATTCATTTGGTGCTCAGTAACAACTACATCATCAACAACATAATAGCAGCATTTTCTAATGTTGGAAGATAAACAGAACATAATGGGTTTGCTAAGAGATTGTGTGAGAGCCTACGAGATGACATCCTAACAAATATTTAAGGGTATGTTTGACCATTAAGGAATTCTATCTAGGTTGGTGAATGCAGACCCTAACTCCCTCTAGTTGTGTATGGCTTTGCAGTAGAAATAGAAGCATGGGGAATGTATCTGGTTATTTACATCTAAGGCATAATCTGAAGTATAAAAAGGAAGTACAAACTACATTGGCGACTTATTCATTCATTCTATATGAGTGAGGAGGATAATGGGCAAAAGTTTAAAAGAAATGTTTATGTAAGAGATTCTTTGAATAAATCTTTGAATAAATACAAGAAAGTGGCCAGATAAAATACAGGGTACACAGTTAAATTTAAATTTTAGCTAAACAACAAACAACTTTTATTATGTCACAAGTATTGTGTGGGACATATTTATAGTAAAAATTCAGTGTTTATCTGAAATTCAAATTTAATTGGATGTCATATTGTTTCCATTGTTAAATCTGGCAGCCCTGGCGTGAAGAAAGCATAGGAAGGGTAATGGAAGCAGGAGCAGATAAACTCCAGACTGGTTCTGGGCCTCCCCTACATAACTTTTCTTCTTTTTTCCACCCTCTGAAATTAAAGAAGTGGAAGTGGGGTCATACACGATTGTATTGAGGAAGGAAAGGCTGAGGGTTCTTGTATCTAGAAGTATCGATATGTAGGACTTAGAAAAGGAGAGAAGGTCAACAAGATGCAGCATTAGCAGCACCTTACTTATTAAATCACCAAGGCCATTGATACAAAATGCAGGTTTCATCCCCAAAGAATTGTCCTATATCAATCATATATGCACCTAAATTAGGAGGTAGTATGGATTGAATTTTGAATAAAAATAGAAGAATCTAGAAGAAACAGGACCTCTAATTCAATCACCTTTTTGGCGATACTTCCTGTTTTCTTCTGCTACTTCCTTACAGACATTTTTTAGAGAGGGCAAAGGAGAAAACTTCCAGTTTGACCCGTTGTCATTTGTCTTGAAGACTACATCACAGAAAAAGTTATATTACCAGTCTTTGTGGTAAGTTACAAGGTACTCAAATCAAGCAACTCTATACTAAAACATAACTATTTTTGAGTGTCAGGCATAAATCTAGGTGCCTTGTATATCTTCTAAACTAGGTACCTCCATTTTTCATATACAAAAGCAATACAAAGAAAGATTAAAATTAAGTTCAAGGTCACAAATCCAGAAAATGAAGAAGTTGAGATTAGAATTCAGTGTAATAAGAAAACCGTTACTGTTGTTTAGCTGCATAAGAAAAAAATCAGAATTACTCCATGACAGCTTGAACTACAGTTTTTGACGTGTTATTCTGGCCACTATTTGTTACTCATTGAAGTAACCCAAACATCATTCTAAACCTTCGGTATAAGGTCTAGAATTTAAACTGAAACAAGAACCTGAGATAAGTTCCGGAAAAACATCCTGATTTAGATGCTAAGTTTTAACATTATTAGCTATCATAATTCATATTCTAGTTATCAGTTACTTTATTTAAACAATGCATGTGGCAATGCTGACTACCCCACTGTGACCCTGAAGGAAGAACAATGACAACAAAAGCCACACCCAAAATAATGCAAAGCTTTTTTTGTGTGTACCCAATGTGAGGCGCTATATGAAGATTAAATGACAATAGCTCTCTGATAGACATAAGTATAGACGTTTCCATCCATTCACCCACTCTGCAGATAATTACCAGGAAAAAATGGCTTTTATCCTTAGTGAGAGGGCATATATATTCAAAACAGGCAGATGCGATTTTTTTAAAAAAAGAAAATTACTGAATTCATACATTTTTTAGCAACAGAGAAGTTAGATGAAGTTACTTTAAAAATTAGTTAAAATGCAAACCTTGGCCTGCCTTACAATCAATTTTTCAAAGAGGTAAGAACAGGACTTTAGAATTTAAAGATTGTAATTCGAATGAATATTAATGCTCAAGTGTGTGGAGCACAGAGGTAACTGACCTCGGACCTCACACAGTGTACAAAGTAGCTGCTTAGCTGGGAAAACCAATTTTTCACCTTTTTTTTTTTGTCAGAAATAGGAGACACTCCACTATAGGCTGGATTTTGTTCCTTGTAGAGGTCAAATCAGTGTCTGCTTGAAAAATTCATGATCCAGAAAAGGTAATTTTTAATGAATATTTATGAGCGATGTCCTTTCTTATCAGAGCCGTGCAAGTTTTCTGAAGCTTGCCACTAAGACTGGCTTCTGATTTTTAGCAAAAAACCTCTGAATCAAAACGAGGAAAATGGACTTGATATACTCTCGTCTGACTCATTTTGGCTTCTCCTGTTATGCACCATCATTGCATATAAAACAACATTGTTCAATGCTGTTCATATCACCACGGCTGCAGCATTCTTTCCATTACTTTTAGGATTCAAACACCAGCATGAAAGAACATTTAAAGGACATTATACTCTTTCTATATTTTTTAACCCTAAAAATACTTTGCCCATAAGATTGCTAATGACTGAGACCAAGTGACAATGGAAATATAGAGTTTTCCTCCATAAGCAGTGGCTCTCATAGTCAATATGTCAAAACAATAAACTCAGAATACTAAAAAAGTTTATAGCTAAATCATGATTTTTTAGATTTCCTGCACTGTCTCTTAACATCAGTATAAACCAGGCGATAGGCTTCTAACAAAACATCTGTTGGCATTTTCCAGTAAATATATATAAAATCCCTGAGAAAACTGTTAGATATTAATTTGTAAGTATAAAATAATGTGCTATATTCACACTTTTCCAGAATATTAGATACAATCAAATGTCTTTTCAAGTTATTCTTAATCTAATAGATTGTAAAAATAAAACTGCATCATGTAAATAATTCACCCTGCCTACAAACTGGTAAACACTTTAACTTTCAGCCTCTGTCATTTGATAATATGAAATGTCTACATGACACAAAATTACTACTTTACTACTTATAGATTTTCCCCTCAAGGTGGCGTATAATAGACACACATTATCATATTATTAGTCTTCATGGGGTTTTTTAAAATGTTTCTCTGATGAATTAGGATGACAACCTATTTATCATTATAAACATTAGAAGAAGGCATAATGAAATGGAATATTGTACCTTATGGAATCAAAATCTTTTTTCATAAGGATTCTATCTTTAGCTTTTCTGAAGATCAAGGTGTTTGTTGTGTATGCCTAATAGCAGATATAAATCATGTTTATTATTTTCATTGTCTATTGCTTTTTAGTATTCTGAAGGATTGGAAGTTGAAACCTACAAAATATTAAAAATATACATACATCAAGGGACTTTGGCAAACCAAGTGCTGTTTACCTAATTCTCTCTTGAATCCAGGCCTTTTCATCAGCTGTAACGCTTCGCCTGGAATGCTCTTTCCTGTGTCACCACAAACCCAGTCACGCCCCATACATAGCCTCTTTGACTGCTACTCATTTTCCAGGTTTTCGATGAGGTGACGCTCCTTATGGAGAGCCTTATTTTGCAGCCCCAAGCTTTAGAAGCTCCCTGTAGTAGCTCCAATTATATTGCGTTTGGCTAATAGTATTACACTGTGATTACACGCTAACATGATAATCTTCCATACTGAAAAACTGTTCCACAAGGACCAGAACTGAGGCTTGTTGAGCGCTGTACTCTCAGATCATGACATGTGCCCTCATTCATTTGGTCCATCTTTATTTACAGAAGGCCTACCAACTGCCAGGCTGTGTTTGAGGCTATGGTGACAGGAACATGTGTCAGACAGATCATATACACGATGGGTTAACGAAAAAAGGAAAAACCTAAGCTCAGATTCTGCAGTAAAAGAACTCTGTAATACAGAATGACTAGGTGAGAGTGTGATGGAAAATTTACATTGGTGGTAGTGTAATTAATGAGTAGTAATGAAGCAGGAATGTATAAGGGCCAAATCTTTCTACTCTTGTACCCCTTGGTGTCCAAGCCTCTTCCTTGTCCAGAAGATCACTTAAATGTTTTGCTGATTGTTATCTTTCTCCTACCCCAAATAATCTGAATATCCACTGAATGTAAAATTATTTTCAAATTAATGATTCCATATTGAATCAATCCTTCAAATTGCTTGGAGTTATAATTAATGAAACAAAATTCCTGATGTTTTGTTTATTTCCTCTTTCTTTTTGTTTGTTTGTTTGTTTTAAAATAGATTATTAGTGGAATCAAACATTCATATGAGGCTGGGCACGGTGGTTCACGCCTGTAATCCCAGCACTTTGGGAGGCCGAGGCGGGTGGATCATGAGGTCAGGAGATCGAGACCATCCTGGCTAACACGGTGAAACTGCGTCTCTACTAAAAATACAAAAAATTAGCCAGGTGTGGTGGTGGGCCCCTGTAGTCCCAGCTACTCGAGAGGCTGAGGCAGGAGAACGGCGTGAACCTGGGAGGCGGAGCTTGCAGTGAGCCGAGATCACGCCACTGCACTCCAGCCTGGGCGACAGAGTGAGACTCCGTTTCAAAAAAAAAAAAAAATTTCATATGATTTTCTAAATACTATCTTGATGGGAACTTCTTACTGGGAGGGACAGTGTTACTATATTGGTGAATACTAATGACCTCATATACATATTTTTATTAAAATCCTTTATTGTACAATTACTTCTTGCTTTTTTTTTCATTTATGGTTTATATTAGAATTTTCTTTCATGGGCACATGGGAGAGTCAGGTAATAAATGGCTTGCTTGGCCCAGATGTGTTCATGCACCTCTCCATGGGCCCTTTCCTCAATCCCAAGTGTACAACTGGAATGGACATATCTGGTAGTTGGCAAAACCCCAACATCAGTTTATCTGCCTGTAGCATAAGAGCTGACAGTAAGGAAAGGCAAGTGGAAGTCTTTTAAAGTAACCCCCAGCTAATATAATACATTAAAAACAGTAATATACTAATGACATTCTAAAATTTCTAAATAACGCAGAGGTAGTAATCGTTATCTTACCTCCATGTAATTTACTAGCCTACTACCAAAGAAAGACAGATCTTAAAGGGTAGTTAAATTCCTGAAAATTCAAATAAGTATTTGCCCCTATTGCAGCTGCTCTCCTACATGTAGTATCTTGGCTAAAGAAGATTAACGTGGACTCAAGTACTTGATACGTGTCCATTGGTCAGATAAATGGATTTTTTTCTATCACTGTCTGTAAGGAGGACCAGAAGTAGTCCACATTCACATGTGGCAGAGAAGAGGATACCTCTGCAGTCTTGACCCAGGTGGGTGTTTACTCTCTTTCATCCTATCATAGTCTAGTTTAGGCCATCAGGATATTCTGCAGAACATCACATTGCCCCGTCATTGATTATATAATGTAATCAGACAAGATGAGCAAGAATTTCCAAATACAATGAGGGTATTTTCAATCATATGCACTCAAAAAGATGGGAAAAAACCTGCAGAGATTCAGGAGCCCATTTCATTAGTGCTCTGTGACATGCTGGGGGCATTTCCTATAAAGTAAAGGACAACTTATTTCCTCTCACACTTCCTACTACTATGAAGGAGGTACAAAACCTTGTAGGTCTCTTTGGATTTGGGATTGACAAATTCTACACTTAAAAATGCTTCTCTAATCCATTCACTGAGTAGCATGGAAAACCGCCAGGTTTGAAAGGGGTCCAGAGAAGAGCTGTGTTAGTAGGTCTGGCCCATGGTGCAAATAGTACTTTCGCTTGGGCCATATCATCTAGAAGGCCCTAGAGTATTAGATATACCTGTGACAGGCAACATTGCCGAGCAGAGCTAATGGCTAACCCTAACAGGAGGATAACAACTTGGAGCCATAGGTGTCTGAAGCAAGGCCATGTGATCTGCAAAATAAAAATATACACCATTTGAAAATAGCTTCTTGCATGTTACTTAGATCTGGCACAGACAAAGTGCCTAATCATGGAACATTGACTAATCATGAAACTAAACATACACATTATGAGGTGAATTCTGTCACACACAAGATTGGGTGGCAATCTCTTATAAGAAAGAAAGAATATGCTTAGTGTGATGGTTAATTTTATGTGTCAACTTGACTGGGCCAGGGATGCTCCTCTAGCTGGTAAAACATTATTTTAGGGTGTGTCTTCAAGTGTGTTTCCAGACTATATTAGCATTAAAATTGTTAGGTATAGTAAAGAAGGACACTCTCACCAATGTAGGGGGGCATAATCCTACCCACTGAGGGCAGGAATAGAACAGAAAGACAGAGGAAGGGTATATTAGTCTGTTTTCATCCTGCTAATAAAGACATACCCAAGACTGGATAATTTATAAAGGAAAGAGATTTAATGGACTCACAGTTCCACATGGCTGGGAGGCCTCACAATCATGGTGGAAGGCAAAGGAGAAGCAAAGACATGTATTACACTATGGCAGGCAAGAGGGCTGTGCAGGGGAACTCCCATTTGTAAAACCATCAGATCTCATGGGACTTATTCACTGCCATGAGAACAATTTGGGGGAAACCAACCCCATGATTCAATTACCTCCACCTGGCTCCACCCTTGACATGTAGGGATTTAATAATCAAGGTGATAATTCAAGGTGAGATTTCGGTGGGGACACAGCCAAACTATAGCAAAGGGTGAATTTGCTCTCTGTGTTTGAGCTAGCATGTCTATTCTCTTCTGCCCTCAGACATCGGTTCTCCTGGTTCTCGGGTATTTGAACGCAGATCAGAACTTTTGACTGAATGACACCCACTGGCTTTCCTGATTCTCCAGCTTGCAGATAGATGGTAGATTGTGAAATTTCTCAGCTTCTGTAATTGCATGAGCCAAATCCTATAATAAATCTCTCTCTCTCTCTCTCTCTCTCTCTCTCTCTCTCTCCCTCTCTCCCTCTCTCTCTCTCTCCTCCATTGGTTATATTTCTCTGAAGAACCCTGTTCATTACACTCAAGTTCTAGAACCAGCAGGATCAGAGTTCATCCATAAGCTGTTGTCACTATCACTGCTACACTTTTTGTTCTTTCTTAGCTCACACCTACATACCCATGGGGGATTCCGTATGATCAACTGATGGTAGAGGAGAAAAGCTGAGCTTGGCTCACAGATATGTGACCTCAGTGTGTATATGCAAGGTCTACTTTTGCTCTTGAACCCAAATCAGGAATGATTTTAAAGCATGGCTGTGAAAGTAGATTCTCTCAATGAGCTGAGCTTCATGAAGTATACCCAATAATCTACTTTGAGTAGAAACAGTTGTTTGAGGTAAGACTATATACTAAATCATATTCTTGGTGAATAGCCTGGCTTATTGGCGAGGTGCACAGAAGAAAATAGATAAGGAAGCTTGTGATCTGAGTAAGAGGCATGTTGATGGACCCATGGCAATGTGTTAACATTTTGATGTGATATTAACTCTCATCAGAGCTTATCCACCATGAAAGAGCCACTAAATAACTAGCTAGACAAGAGTGATTCAGCCAGCTGTTGTCAGCCAGCCTCTGACATTGGCCAAAATAATTCTGGCACGATGGGTTCATGAATAGGGTAGCCATGGTGACAGGGATGCAAGCTATGTATAGACCCAACAGCATAAGCTCCATACACCAAGGCTAATCTGGCATTGCTGAATATCCAATCTTAGCAAAGAAACCACGTTGAGCCACCAACAGTACTATCCCCTGAGACCAGTCATTTTGCAGCAAATTGATTACATTGAACCCATTGCTCCCTGGAAAAGGCAGTGATTTTTTTTTTGGCCTAGAATCAACACACACTCCATTATGAATTTATTATTTATGCCTATATTTAATGGCTAATTTTGTTGGCATATGACCTGTATAGCCACATGAACAAGGGACCCCACATTTTTATTTTTTATGGGAACAACAAATTATGTAGCCAGTCCTACTGCAGCCTGGGCCAGTCCTTATATCTGCAGACATACAAAGTATTTAATACATTAATATGAATCCTATACAACATCAGGACAGACCAAATGACGCACTTGACAGCAAAGGAAGCAGCATCCACTGGTTTTGTCACATACCTCACCATCCAGAAGCTGCTAGTATAATAGAACAACAGAGGGCCTTTGGTAAGCATAGTTGAGGTGCCAGTTTAGAAGGAGCACCAATTTTCAGGACAGGTCTGTATTTTAAAAAGGACAATATTGAGTCCAGGCACCAAGGGATAGAAGTAAAAATGGCCCTACTTACCCATTATTTCCATTGACTTACTTGGAGAAGTTGTTAGACTCTGTGAGCTTGGGGATCATAATGCTCAGAAGTGGAATGCTCCTGCTGGGGGACACAAAAAGAGCCCCATTTCAGTTTTCAGCTTTGTTTGCCACCAGATCATTAGAGACTCCTTTCAGGAGGAGACCAACAAGCAAGAAAAGGAATCACCACGTTGGGAGAGATAATTCACCCTGACCTCAGGAAGAGTGAGAACTGTTATTATATAACAGGGAAAGGCAAGGACATGCATGGCTCCCAGGTGATCAACTTGGATGTCTCTTGCTACTGCTTACCCAATTTTTACAGCACATGAGCAGCACTGAAGCTATGGCTAGAGAAAGAGATGGTGGCTAGGGACTCGGAGCCCTCAGCAATGAAGGTCTGGGCTATCCCCAAGTAAACCATTTAGGCTTACAGAGGTGCTAGTGGAGGGTAAGGGAAATCTTGAATAGTTAACAGAGGAAAGGAATTATAAATAAATATCAGCATTACCCTGATAGCAGCTGCAGCAATAATACTATATATTTTTTTTCACTAACCATCTTCATATAAGTTTCATCAGGAAAAGATACCATCCAGAATCCTGGAGGAGATGTCTCCAGATATGGTGAACATCTAAAACAAAGCCAGGGGCTACAGCAACCCTAGAGGTGGATTATAGGGGATGCTATGTACACTGCTCAGATTCTTTTATGCAAAACCAAGGTATTCATTTCTCACCTACTCTTGAGGGTTGCCACCTGATAGCTCACAGTGAGTCCTCAATAGCCCATGTTCAATGATTATTAAATATGATGGCTTAAAGCTTAACTTGCTTTAATTAGAAACAACTCTTAACAGGTCATCCTAGTTCCAGGACTTGTCAAATTTTGGGCGTTTGCTTTAATTACAAAACAAATTCTATTTCGTCCTCTAATTCTGTTTCTCTAATTTCATCACAGACATTGTTGCTGAGAACACTCTCTAATAAGCGTCCTGCAGACCGTTCTTTTTATCAAAGTCTTTCTTGGAGGACAACCTGACCTAAGACACTATCAGAGATTGCACCCACATAGTATCTGTATTAAGACCATCTAGAGCTTTGCTTAGTTCAAAACCAAGCATTGGATTTGGTACTAACACACAATTACTGCTATGAAAGTTATTGTGATCTAACCGGGAATATGAAATAACACAGATATATGGGCTAGATGAACATAAAATGATTCAACATATGAATGTCAGTCAGTAAAGGAAGAGGCATCGCTATGTATAGAGAACGAGCTTCAGCAAAATGAAAAACTGAGGAAAACAATGAAGAGGGTCATCAGAGACAGATGGCAGCCCTTAAATGAGAGGGACTGAGTAAATCCCACAGAGGTCAGAATCTTTGCTTGCTTTGTTTGTGTACTCCAAATATGTAGAACAGTGTCTGGCATGTAAGGGGCACCCCATAAATATTTGTTAAATGGGCCGGGCGCGGTGGCTCATGCCTGTAATCCCAGCACTTTGGGAGGCCGAGACGGGTAGATCACGAGGTCAGGAGATGGAGACCATCCCGGCTAACACGGTAAAACCCTGTTTCTACTAAAATTACAAAAAAATTAGCCGGGCGTGGTGTCGGACGCCAGTAGTCCCAGCTACTCGGGAGGCTGAGGCAGGAGAATGTCGTGAACCTGGGAGGCGGAGCTTGCAGTGAGCTGAGATCGCACCACTGCACTCCAGCCTGGGCAACAGAGTGAGACTCCATCCAAAATAAATAAATAAATAAATAATAAATAAAAAAATAAATAAAATAAATAAAAATTTTGTTAAATGTATCCATCTTAGGATAAACTAAAGAATTGAAAAGCAAGCCAGGCGCAGTGGCTCACGCCAGTAATCCCAGCATTTTGGGAGGGCCAAGGTGGGCCCATCACATGGTCAGGAGTTCCAGACCAGCCTGGCCAATATGGTGAAACCTCATCTCTACTAAAAATACAAAAATTAGCCGGGTGTGGTGGCGGGTGCCTGTAGTCCCAGCTACTCAGGAGGCTGAGGCAGAAGAATCGCTTGAACCCAGGAGGTGAAGGTTGCAGTGAGCTGAGATTGCACCATTGCACTCCAGCCTGGGTGACAGAGCAAGACTCCATCTCGAAAAAAAAAGAATAATTAAGAAGCAAATAACACAATGAGCAAATGTGTGTCACATTGAGAGAGAAACAACCTAGGCATACATTCAATCACATCATAGCACTTTACTTTGCACTGACTATGTGACTGGCAATTGCTCAGTGCTAGAAAAACCAACATTAATAAGACATGACTCCTGGCCCACAAGGGATCACGGTGAGTGAGGACTTCCTGATAATGTCATCGAGAGAGGCCAGTTTTCTTCACAAACGTGTCCTGACTTAGTGGCTTCCGCTTGATAAGGATTGTTTTGCTTCCGTGTCTGATCCTTAGTTTTGTACTTTCCAAAACAATTTTCTATTAATTCACTTAAAGCTGATGTTGTACAGGCAGGGACGGACTCACATTAATACAATGTACAAGAACCAATGTATGAATCAAGCTTATCCCACATTAACTTACAAGTACCTTGCCAATTCCAAGAAAATTTGCCTCCACCACTCTGTGGAAGCCCTCCTCAGTATCAGGATGCTTTGGAACTGCTAAATGGATACATTTGGAATGAGAACAAAATGGTGGTGAGTATTAGAAAGGAATATCTCACTCATAGAGAGTAAAGTCTAGGGCAACATCCATAACCGTAACAGAAAATGCCTTTTAAATGATTTAAATGCTCATTTTCCCCTAGTGTAATGTGTTTCTCCTATTTTATGAATGAGATAAACACAAACATCTTGCGATCCCACTTACATGTTTTTCTAAGGTTTATATTGTCGACCAGTTTCCTCAATTAGAATCACACTCCAGCCCTGCAGACTTTTGGCTGTTCACTGATCTGATTTTTACGAAGAACTCTCTGATCACCCTGGTAGGGCTTGGATTTCTCTATATCTTCTCAGCGACACTTTTAGCAGCCTTCCTTTCAGTTATTTTTCCAAATGTGTTTTTGTTGTAAATATTCTAGAACTTGTAAAAATATTATCACTATTGACTTGGAGAAGAATAGCCTGCTGTGATGGCCAAAGGTTAGGCATCATTTAATATGTGATTTGAAAATTTAAGAATTGATATTTTTATATATATATGTGTATATATATGTAAATATATATATATGTGTATATATGTAAATATATATGTGTATATATATAAATATACATATATGTGTGTATATACATATATGTGTGTGTGTGTGTGTATATATGTATACATAGGTGTTGCTTATCTAGAAACTGTGGTATTATGAGTGTACTAAAAACTAGTCACTGCTAAACCAACTAAGCCCCCAGAGAATTTTGCAGCTGGGGAAAGGGAAGCAATTGTATAAACAGAAAGCCCAATTCATTTCTCATTAGAAGGAAATCACCACACTGTATATGGAAATTATGGTTTCTTTATTAAGTAGTGGAAGTGGAAAAATGTTTAGATTCTATAGATAATTCAGGTATTGCCTAAGGAGATAAAGTGGAAAACAGTTAATTACCTCCTTTGACTTCTGGGCAGCACATGAATAGGCAACTTTGCTTTTGGCTTAACGGAAAGATGTTGCAGAAAATATTTTCAAGGAACAATAGATATATAATCAGGAAAACAACCACATTTAATATTTTCAGATGCTGTTAAAACAAACAAACAAACAAACAAACAAACAAACAACTCAGAATGCTTCCCAGTCTATAGGAAGTAATCTTGTAATCATTATGCGTTTTGAATATGCAAAATATTTGATATTCATTTTAAGTTTAGTTTTCAATTAACCCTATTAATCATTTTTTTCTATGATGAAAATTTAGTTGTATCTAGTTACTGAAATAATTTATACCTTTATATGATAGAATAAGGAATAAGAAAGGAGGCTGTATTTCCCAGGAGTCAACAGCCTAAGAATAACTTGCTCACCCATATAATCCTTACTTAATGATGATGACTTTCAGTTTACTCACTGCTATCCTGAAAGTGTTAATTCAGTTACATACAGGCAAGTATTGTATAGTGAAATTTACTTACCAAGGTCTAACAACCCACTGTCTTCAATATGACATCTATCAAGGGGGGAAAAAAACCCCTGAGGATTTCTTAAAGCTGTACTATTCCAAGGTGGTAACTAATCCGACATTAAAAAAAAAATTAGGGGCAAATATCAGCCTCAATAGAATGAGCTTTACAGCTCTTTGAGACCATTATCATTTCTTTGCTGTAACAAAACAAAACTAAAACAGAATTTATTGAATCTGATTTTAAATGTTGAAATAAAAATGATCAATCCAAATGTCATCTGTAATTATAAATATGACATGTTTGTATGTACATTTATAATATGTAAAATCCTGAAAACTTTTCAACATTTGCATAGCTTCTCATCTCCTAAACATATTATTGTTGTTGTAAAATTGAAATTATCAGAATTCCTGAGAATATAAATACTGTGATATTGTGAAAATAAATAGTTCTCTAAAAGTCAGGGAGACAGTATTCTGCATTTTGTATTAGAAAAAACAGCATATTTCAAATAGTTTGTGACCTGAAAGGAAATATTTTCCTGGAAAGTGTTTTTTAAAGTAATTATTAGACAGTTCTGATATTTTAAATTTCCCAAAAAAAATCATCTCTGCTACTTAAATATTATGAAACTAACCCAGAGAAAATGTCTCAACTCTTTTATATTTCATTTGTGCCAAATGTAAATTCCAATTATACAGTGTATCTATGTTTGCACATATGCAAACCCACAATTTTATGTTATATGATAATAAAACTCTTTGCCACTTCAGGCAGATTTTCTCTCCTTCCAAGTATTTCTTTCCATTCCCTTTTAAAAAATTATACTTCATTTCCTTTTTTTCACTATTTTGTCATTGAAACCAATAAAAATTAGAATTATTAACTAAGCCATTTGTGAAATGTTAATATTTAAGAAAAACATGGAAAATGTAAAGCAAATATTAAAAATGATGCTCTCTCTCTCTCTCTCTTTTTTCTCTCTCTTTTAGGCAGGACGGGCTATGAAAAATTGAGAGAAAGTGAAACATCAATTCCCCAAAGAGTTACTTTCTCAAAGTGTTGAAAGTCAATTCAACAAGTATTTATTGAGCTTCTACCCCTGCCCTTGGGGACACTGGTGATATAAAATCAAGAATCTTCCTCAACACTTGATTCATTTTGATTTAAAACCGGCAGCCTGGGGAGCCTACTCAAGGTTGCAGTTGCTCTTCATATATAAATATTTTTCTACAGTTGGAGCTTTTACGTATACCAATGCTTGAGTCTTAGAACTCTGTTTTTGTTTTTCTCCCATAGATCACTGTATGTTCAAAAAAGTTTGAAAATGGTAGTGATGGAAAGGTTATCTACATTAGAATTGGTCAATTCTTTTTAATACAGGAAGAATTTTAACTTTGAGAAAAGGTAGAAACTTATATTTTTAATATATTAATATTTGGTTATGTTTTTCTCTTTTGGTTGTATCTTATTAACATAGTATACTTTTGCTAACTGAATGACATTTTTTGTTTTTATTTATTTTGCTACATCAATATAGCAATAATAAAGAGAATATTTAATTTGCTTATTCACTTAATAAATATTTAGAAAGCACTTACAGTTTTCCAGACATTGTACTGAGTGCAAAATTTGGATTTCTCCTTTGATATAAACCTGAACCTTAGCTAAATTCCCTTTGAACCAAAAGAATTCATCCATGTGGGAAGAAAAAAACTGGATAAATAAAATTGGATTTTCATTATCCTTTCTTGTCAAAGGAGTCAGGAAAAAGAAGAGATACAGAAATGTTCTCTGTTTTGTTCAAGTATAATCAGTAAGAGAGTCACTAAAAAGAAATAAAGGGATTAGGAGTAATCGTGTTTGAATAAAGACGCAGATTAGAAAATGACTACTGTTATTATTAAAAACAAAAGTAAAAATAACATACAAAAGTGAAGTGTGTTCTTTATTCAGTTTTATTAGGGACAATTGAGAAACAGCACGTTTTCTGCAGGGGGCTTAAAAGGAAAAGCTTATGTTTAAGCTCCAGTTTAAAAGGAGAGCTGGAGTTGTGAGTGGAGTGGTGCCTAAGAAAACTAAATCACCAAAAGTAGAAGAGGTGAAACTGAAATACAGGGATCCCATCCACACTGCCAAGTGCAGATTCCATAGATAAAACAGCAGTGAGAAATTTGTAACAGAGAAAAATAATTACTTCTAACTCTGTAAAATAGTGTGTGATGTTTATCTTCACTTATACCTCAGTGGTTTTATCACAATCTCAGGGAACTTTATTCAAATCAAAGGAGGATCTCACAGATTCAGGTAGCCTGGGCAAGAAGGGCTAGGAGAATATGCGAATTACTGAAAAGTGGCTAAATGGTGTGCTTTGAAATAGATAAATTGAGTTTTTATGACTACTGAGGCATTGCCTTATTTCAATCCACATTATTGGAAATTTTCACAGTCATTTTCTTAAACTCTTCAAACAGACCTTTTATTTAGAAGCCTTTATATTCATGTGCGAGTGGTATTAAAGAATACTTTGGGTTCATAGAGGTGTAACTACGACAAGGAGTACTAGTGTTTTGGATTTAAAAGGTTGGGGAAGTAAAATGATAAGTAGTAATAGCAACAATGGAAACTATTAATGTATTCAAGTACAAATATTACCATTAAATAAACAGAATTAATGGCTGGAAGGAAACAAGCTTTCGGAAAAAAATTAAGTAGACCTAAATATAAGAGTTTTAATAAAAATAAGCCAATTTATTATCAACCAATGTCTCTAATATAACAGAAAATAAAATCCTGGTTCAAACATAGTTTTGATTCACAAAAGTAGGCTGTGGTTTATGTATATTTAGAAGAAAAACAATTGGTTTTGGGATTACCTGCAAGAAAGGATTGTGATGGTGGCAACAGAGTGCCAAGGACCCCAAGCCATTTCCTATAGCTGATATGTAAGCCAAGTTGGGTATGAATATGGGACCGTGTTTTGGGACTTTCCTGCAGGAAAGTGTGAACTAGAACACTGAGAGAGGCACTAAATGCACACAGATGGAATAAAAAACACACAAAGGAAGGAGGGGTTTTGATTTGTCCAGTCACGCATGTTTGAGGATTGCTGATGTACTACAGGGCTGTTAGTTTTTTTTCTGCCTATTGGTCATTGCAAGTAAATGAGTTTTAGCAGACTCAAAGTGTTGGCCTCCTAACTTATCAATATTGGTACAATAAATGAATATTCAATTTATGAGCTCACTTCCTTGGTAGTACTTACAAATTGAACTAGGATTACAATAATGTGTTGTTGTAACCAAACTGCTCTCCTTTTCTACCAATATCTATTGGTGAAAACTCCCAGGGTAGAGAGGAAATTATTAGGAAAACAGACATGCTATTTCTAACGCTTGCCAGTTTTTATAAAGAAATCATGCTCCCTTCATGGTCTTCCTTGATATCTTCCCCCAGCCCTTTGTGTGAATGCGTCTGAAGGAAGGACAGATACACCCATATACAGGAATGTCTTGCTATCCGTTTGTAATGGGAGGCAGTGATTTACTCCTATCTGGTCTCAACAACAAATTTCTGTTGTTTTTCAGAGTCAATAATGAGTAATTTCATGCATTTCAAATCTTAGTGAGGGAACAGGAACAGTTACTTTGTTACCATTTTAGAGACACCTGGGCTAAAGCTCCCAACATATGGATACTGGAATGTGGCACTATCCACAAGACCCAAGTAGAAATTCCTGGTGCATATCACCTTCCCATTCTTAGGAAGGGAATATCTGATTACTACTGTTCAGTCAGTTTAAGCACAAGCTTGCAGAAGCATAAGAACTCCTGCTCACTTATTCTTGAAGAACCTCCTACAACAATCTTACAGAATCATGAAAGAAACTCTGGGCCAGAAACTGGGGCAGTTTGAATATCCCACTGTTCTAAACCTAGAAACAGATAACCAACTGCCCTTCTGATGATTTTCCTCTATCTTCCACCAAACCTGAAAAGAACCCCCACTTGCTCTGCTGGTGGGAGTTTTACTGGGCTCATAAAAATGAGGTGCACCGTTCAATTTATCTAGGCCCCATTATGTTGGAAGGCAGCCCTTCCAACATTATGTTGAAAGTGAGCCCTGTAAACTAAACAGCATTGGGGCCCCTGCAATCTGGAAGGGGAAACATTCAAAGGACACTGTGAAGCTCAATTTACAGAAATAGACTGAAAATTGCTGCCAAGTGGCCCAGCAGACAACGCTTATGGGCAGCCCTCACAGATCAGGTTGCTCAATTTGAGAAAAAATGTTGCATAGGACCAGGCAGTGATGGCTTTTGTGCCATCATCTCTGAATACACAGAATAGTGACCCAGGCACTAACACCTGTCTTGATTAACCTGGTGCCAATCTATGAGTTTTAAACATTTTCTCTCTCCTGATCATTTCTACACGTATCAGAAAATATCATCATTGCTCAACCTGGCATAGTCTACTCTACTGTCAATTTAGAATTGATTCCTGTTTATAAATATCCTGGCTAGACATCCTGGAATAAAATTCCTTAGACTCTTTGCTCATATGCCATGTCAGTATTCTGCTAGAATCCTTGTCAAGCTCTTGGCTTTTGAAATAAGTTATATTCATCAACGATGCTGTAAGAGGTTACATGCCACATTATACCAACACCTTCTGGCCATGCATCTTATCTCTTCACCCCTCATAAAAATGTCTTAGGCTTGTGTCCCAAGGAATGGTTTCAGAACTCTTTAAGATGACCTTCAGTCAAATAGGTCAACTCTTATTTGAGATTTCACAATTAATGCCTTCCCGAGATGTCTTGTTTTAGAAATGACTTTTGCCATTCTGATAGAATTTAGCTTTGATATTCAAGCTGATTTGCCCTCCTCCAGTTTTCTCAGCTACCAGACACTTGAACTTGTATTCACATTTTTCTGCCAAGCTTCTGCTGACGGGCCTCTCTAGATACCATTCAGTAGGCTGACTGAAATATAACCTCACTCCAGGTCAAATGCCTTTAAGCTGAAAACCATTTCCAAGAAGAATGAAAATCTTAGATATTTCAAGTTTGTCTATGTGGCAGTGTTGAGATAAGAACAATGACAGTCTTGTGTTGTTGTTTTTTTTCCTTTTCTTTTTAGCTGTTCCGTAGCAGCTTGAGAGGATGAAGAGTTCAAATATACAGTAATTCTCATTGCTATAAATGCATGAAGCATAGAATGGAAAATAAGAATGGAACAGATTGAATAATCATTGTAATAGTAGATAGGTAAAATGTAATGATAAAAGGTTGAAGGTTCAAAGCATACTTAATATTTTATTTTAATAAAAAGAATGTAATTTGACTTGAAATTGAATCAATTTTGCAAATATAAACTCTCACTGATTTAGTAACTTTATGTATGCTATAGTTTTAAAAAATTATATCAATGGGTATGAACAAATCACACGAATTTATTCCTAGTGAATTTTCAGAAGACTTCCTACTACATGGTTTTCCCTTACCATATTGTCTCATAATTTCAACATTAGAGCCTCTGTTCTGTTCTAATCAGATGTGGTGATCAAAAAGTCTACCTAAAATTATACATATATGTGTACACACACACACACACACACACACGCACATTCATTTTATAGAGGAAAAGAGAAAGGAGTGGCCATCACTTTTCCCTTTATGTCCTATTTGATCTATTTGGCTAAAAAGCATAGAGACAGCTTCTTGCAAAATTACGCTGACATTTATACTGTATACAGAGAGATTTTTGAAACAGAAGACTCAGGCATTTTTACTATATAGAGATAATTTTTTAGGCTATAAGGGTCACTCAGGAAATTTTGCTAAGGGTAAAGAGAGAAGACATGGCCAGAGTGCAGGGTTGGAGTGAGATGACACATGCCCTCTTCCTGCATAGCTGAGGGAAATAACTAGGTTCAGAATCTGGGAGTTTGACAAAG